>NC_000001.11:205305799-205457314 GCF_000001405.40 Homo sapiens | reverse complement strand
TGTGCGGTGAATGCAAAGAGCCGGGAGAGCTCCCAGCCCGGCGCCGCCGACGGCGTCCTCAGCCACAGCCCAATGAGAAGAGAGCAGATAATTTATTCTCTAATCCCGGTTCGGGTACCCGGCGCTGGCGAGTGGCGGGGGTAGGAGGGGTGGGTCTCCTCTTCCTCCGTCCCCTCCCCCGCCCCTGCGGGCTCCCGGCCGCACACACACACATTTCCTGACAATTAGCGAACACACCTTGGCCGCGCGGCCTCCGGCGGCGGCGCCGCAGCTTTTGTCTCCCGCCCGCCGGGCTGCGAGGTGCGGGCGCTTAGGCGCGAAGTTGCAGCTCCGACGCGCTGCTCCGGAATGCCGGCTGACCGCGGCCGTCGGGGGGCGCGGAGGGCGGGGTGGGCCGGGCACGCCGGCCCCGGGGCTGGGGGGCTGCAAAAGAGAGAAGAGAGACAAAAGTAAGGCAGCGCTGGCCCCTCTTCCTTTGTTATAACCCTGAGTGTGTGCGGGCGTGAGCGCGCGCGGGAGTGTCTGTGTGCGCGAGGGTGTGCATATGTGTGTGTGCATGTGCGTGCATGTGTGTGCGCGCGTGTGTGCAAATGCCTGCATATGTGTGCGGGTCGGGACTGGCCGGGGGCGGCAGGACCCGAAGGCGCTAGGCGGATTCACCGGATTGGGAGTTGAATCGCGTCCCGGTCTTTCTAGCTGTGCCCGGAAATCGGGCGTGCGGGCAGGTAGCCGTCCCGCTCTCGCCAGTTCCTCCGAGTACTGAGCTCGGAGTTTGTTCACAGGCTGAGCCCGTGCTGGGGGTGTCGCAGCTTGGGCCCGGCCTGCAGGGGTGGGGGAGGAAGAAGCTCCGGCTGAGGGTCTGCCCCGACCGCAGAGGGCGCACGAGGGGGTCTCCCGGCACCGGCGCGGCGCCCACGCCACTACAGGGGCCCCCTGAAACCCGGGTAGAAGCTTGTGATAGGCGTTGCGACCCCGGGAAGGCGCGAGGCTGTGGAGGTGGCTCGTGGGGCCATGGAGGGAGTGGGGGGCGGCGAGACGGAGTCCGTCTAAATGCCAGTTCCCAGAAGTTCAGCGTATCGATTATTTCCTACCTTAATGCATATTTATGCCGCGCCGAAATAGGCTTCATAATTAACTCCCGGAGTCATCCGCAGAGGTTAAAGGGACCCCGAAGATTTGTGCATTGATTGGGTACCTCGGCGGGGTGTGTGTGCGCGCGCGTGTGTGCGTGCGCCCCGTGCTAACCCATTGAAGAATAATTATTTTTCTCCACTGGAAGCTACAGCAGAGAATCGGACAAGGAGGGAAGAAAGAGATTGGTGAGGGGGAGAGAGAGAGAAAGAGAGAGAGAGACACAAAGGAAGTGAGTGCAAGAGGAGCCGGCTTAGCATCTAAACTGTGAGTACTGAGCGAAAACAAACAGGCAGAAAGTGCCGCGAGTTGGCGACCCCTTGGCCGGGTTGGGGGCCCGAGTGCGGCTGAGGGGGACTTTCCTCCCCGCCCCGGGCTTGGCTGGGCGAAGAGGGGTCCCTAAGGCATGGGCGGGATGCGGGTTCAGGCACTCACCTGAAAGCTGACCGGCGGCGGGCTGCGTCAGCCGCCGCCCTAGGTCGACCAAAGAGGAAGCCCCCTCCCCGCCCCCATTGCCTTTGTTCCTTTTAAAGGATTTTGCCGCTGGTGGGATTGGGGGGAGTGTGAGAGGGAGCCTTGGCTCCGGAGGTAGCCGATCCTCCTGTCCCCGCTGAGTGAAACCCGCTTGGAGTGCCTCCTCCGTTTCCTTTATACCCCATGGTATGGAGTGGTATGAGGAAGGGGCTGTAAAGGGGTTAGGGATCAGGGGTTTGTGACACCTGTGCATATGTTTGTCTGGTACCCTTGGAACAGAGGGCCCCAGGAGACCCCAGTTTGGGGCCTGGGAGAAGCCATGTCCGTGGGCCAAACCACCAACTCCAGTATATGTGGAGGCAAACATGGTCCCAGGCTTAGAGGAGACACCAGCTACTCCCCACACACATCAGAGTCCTTCCTAGCCATTGTGTCTGTGGGGTCTAGGTCTGGCCAGACCTCTTGGCCATAAGCCTGCCTCCCACTGCCTCCCCATCCCTGGGGCCCTTGCATGCCTAAGAAAGGCCGGAGCTAGGAGCCCACCTGGAGGAGGAGCTCTGGCCGGGTAGGGGCCCAGGAAGGCAGCTAGACAAGGATAGGTGCTCCCTTTCCTGAGAAAGGGTCCATAACAGGGTGCCCCCGGGGAACAAGAGCTGGCCAGCCCTGCCAGTGCTGAGCTGGTCAGGAGAGGGCGTCTGGGGGCCCAAGGGAGAGCCCTCCCTTCCGACCAACATTCCACAGCCTCCGTTTGGAAGTGCTTGTATACTGCCTTCCTTTCCTCAACCCTCATTAACAAATTCTTCTTTTGGTCTGATTTAATCTTTCCTGACGATTTTTTTTTTTTTACATACCTTAATCTGCCAGTGAACAACTTTTCTCAACTTGAGCCTTAAGAAGGGCTAACTTTGGAGGAAAAGTCAGCTCTTTTGAGGCTGGGATGGGAACCCCTGGTGAAAGAGCTCTGAATTGAGGGGAAAGGGATTGTCCTCTAAGAAACCCCCTTTAGGGGTAATTTTGGTGGCTTATGCCCTCCAGGAGGACACAACGGAGGCCTGGGGCTGCAAACAACTTCTATCTCTCAGTCATTCAATGCCGGCTTTCCATTGCTCCACTGGGGCTGCCACAGAGGCAGGAAAAGAGGATCTCTCTCTCTCTCTCTCACACACACACACACACACACACTCACACCAGATAACACTTCCTCCAAGTAGTATTGGGCACTCTCTGAGACTCAGGGCCCCTCCCATTGCCCATACACCACCACCCCCCACCCCCATCCCACGCACCCCACACACACAAAGAGAACATCCAGGAGTCTCAGAGCTGGGGACTACCATCCTAAAGGCATGAAGAGGAAGGAGAGACCCTCAACTAGGGAGGATCAAATTCAGTGTAACCCTGGAAGAGGTGACATGAAGACTGGGTGGCAGGGGAGACCACAGTCCTGCTGACGTGACTGCTCTGAATTGCAGTCATATGCATATGGGCCTGTCTTCCCACTGGACTGCCTGCTGGGCCTCCCTGAGTGCTGTCTCCTGGTGCCTAGCACGGTGCCCATCCCACTGTCTGTGCTCGGTGCATATTTGATAAATGAGTGGTGTCCCTGAAGCCATTCTCCCCACCCTTCATCTCTGTCTGCCTCCTCCTCCAAGAGGTACTCCACAGGGGCTTGGGAGAGCCCAGTTCCATAGTTCTTTGGGCTGGGGCACCATCACCCCATGGGGGTTGAGGAGGGGCATGGAAGAAAAGGGGTGGGGGCAGGAATAGTGCTTGGGCAGACACTGAGACATTTCGATATTCATAAATTGCTCAGGTTGAAATGCATGTGAGTTTGCCAATGACCCATTCTTATATTTTTCTTTAACAGCTTTATTGGCTGAGAGGCAAAACTGTGGCCTGGGTCCTGGACTTGGGGAGGCTAGATTCTTGTAACACAAGAACCTCCCTGTGTCCTCCCTCCCACAGCCCAACCTTGGAGCTTATTGGAGATCAGATGCAGAGGCTGGGGGTACCCAGGCTGCGGAGACTCCCCCAGCTTCTGCCCGTGTTTGCTCTCCTGCCCCTGGGTCTCTTGCTATCTTCATTGCCTGGGACTATTGCCAGGTCTCCCGTCTCTCCCTTCCCTAAGAACCCAGGGCTGCCAGGCTAGGACCTCCCTCTGTTTGCCTGGGAAGTCTCAGAACTGAGGCTCCTGGAACAACTAGAGAAAGCCCTTGGGGGAAAAATTGTGCTTTCCTGCTCAGTGGAGCAGTGCCCACCCCACTTTACCTCAGGGGGCTGGGGGCTCCCAAGCTGTTAAATGAGAGGGAACCTGAGCTGTCCATCCTTTGGAGTAGAGATGGGACCTCGGAGCAGAGGGGACCGGAGTCATGGGGAAAGGCTACCTAGTGGCCTTTCTCCGTAGCAAGCACACTGCTGGTCTAGTGCAGGTCTGGAGGACAATGTATGTGGGAGCCTGCTGGGTCCATCTTCATGAAACTAGCCTTCTCGTGCGTTGGTTCTGGGCCAGGGACTGCACCCACAGATCCGTCTCAACCACAACTCCGAATCTGCAGGCTTGTTTGGGGCAGATAGCAGAATCAGATCCCCTGAGGCTCTCTGAAGTTTCAGCAGTGCCTTCCCACCCCCATGTGAGTGGAATTAGATTTCCAGGCTTTGCTGCCCACTCACACCCCATAACCTGTTCCAGCCCAGGGACTCTCTTCCCTGAGGGGACAGGCATAAGGGAGCTCCAAGCACACACCAAGCCTGAAATACAGGAGAGCTTAGATCTCTTGCTCTTGTTTCCAAGCTTTATCAGCCATTCATTCATTCATTGAATGTATACCTATACCATTCAGCCAACATCCATAGAATAATGTGAAATGCTTCTGATTTAGTCTTTTTGGATTGGAGTATATGTGGGGTGGTAAAAGCAAGTGGCTTTTATTTAGTATCTTCCTAATGTCCTGGTTCCCTTCCACCATAGGCAAAGGCAGGTCTGCTGAGCTCTAAGTCCCTGCAAAGGGTACATAAGTCTATGAAAGGCTCTGAGAGGATGAGTAAGCTCCAACGTAGACTCATGAAATTTTGGAGTTGTTGGGACCTTAGGTTTTATCTGTCTAACTTAATTCCAGATGCAAGGATCCCTTCTACATTAGCTTACCATTTATTGAGCAGCTACTGTGTGCCAGGCAGTGGGTCTGAGAAGTGGCTGTGCACCCTATGTTTGATGATCTCTGGTGACAGGGAGCCCACTGGCTCCTGTTGGAACAGTCCTACTTCTTTCCTTTCTTGGACTGAGCCCAGTTTGCCCCCCTGGCCCTTCCCTCTGTGACTTTCTCTGCTGCGGAGGGGTAATGGTTCACTTTTCTGGCAAAGGAGTTCTCCTCCTGGCTTAGCCTCAACCAGAGCCATCTCCAACCAGTGCCCTGATGTGGGCTGAGGTCCAGGGTGGTGACTGTGTGCCCTTGAAGGAAATGGTGGGACTGGGGGCTCCCTAAAAAGGGAGTTGCTGCAGCCTGCTCCCCAGTGAAACAGGCTTTAGTTTTCATGCTGGACCTGGCTTCTGCAGCTTGCACTAAGATTAAGGGACTTGTTACTACAGAGGAGGGGAGGGCACACCCACCAGCCAATCAGGCCAGGGACACCTGAGGTCTCTTCTCCCCAGCCCTCCCTCCGCCTCTTGCCCCAGGCCCCCTCATCTCTCCCTGCTGCCTCCGGTTCTGCCTGTGCTCCACCTCTGCCTCCAGTTTCTCTTTGTCAGCATTCTTCTTTTCTGGCTCTCTGCTTTCTCTCTCTCAGGCTTCTCCTACCCTCTCCTCTAAGAGCAAAAAATGCCCATCCAGGCAAGTTGTAGCCTCCATCAACCTCAGTTTTCTCATCTACCCAATGGGAATAATAATAATAAATATTTGTGTTACTGAAAGATGATCATTAAGGGGGACCTAGATGCATGACACAGTTTTCACTAAAAAAAAAAAGTTGCTTTTCCCCTTCTCGCCTTTTTTCTCCCATTGAGTTTCTTCTGCATTTCCATCTGCTATCACCTCTGTCCTCTTCTTCACAATTTCTCTCAGTGTCTCCATTCTGTGTCTCTCAGTTCCATCTCCCCCTCACTCCTGTTTTGTCTCCCACCTCCTTTTATTCCCTCTTGGTTACCCCCCCGACCACTCCCCCCAACTCCTGCCACAGGCGGCAGGGCCCAGGCTGTGCTGACAGCAAGGGCAGGCAAGCAGGGCGGGTGGCTGTCTCCACTTCTCATCAGAGGCCCAAGAATGTGTGGAGTCATGAGGGACAATGGGAGCCTGCGGCAGGAAGAATGGGGCCTCTGTTGGGGCAGAAGTTTCCCAAATCCGGCTGAATGGGAGTACCTGAGGGCTAGGGAGGGGTGGAAACTCCTGAAGTGGAGAGGAGGCCACTGGTGGTAGGTGTGGGGGATGGGCAAGGCTCTAGAATTGGCCACCATGGGAATTCTTAGCATCTGTTGGCATTTCTGGGGAGAGCTCAGACCTCAAAGGTGACTGCCTCTCTCCCTGGAGTGGCCAAGGAGGAAAGGGAGGAAAGGGATCCTGGGGGACAGAGCCAGGGGAAGCTAAAGAGAAAATGTTCCAGTGGCCCTGTGAGGTGGCCCTTATACACAGTGGATATCCCTTGGGCCCCTTGGGCTGCTGGGCCCCAGTTCTCACCACCAGCAAGCTGCAGAAAGGTTGTGGTGGCCCCAGAGGAGACAGGAATCGTGGGCATGGCCCCATCTTGAGGAGAGGGAGTCCTCGAGGTTCTCGCCCAGCAGTGGCCTTTCACTGCCCAGGTTCTCGGGATTGGAGGAAGCAGGGTTTTCCTCGGGAAAGGAGGTGAGGCTTGACCTGCTTCCTCTTTCTCCATATTTCAAGTGAGGTTCACTCCAGCCTGAGACATGATGGCTGTCCCCACCTCCATCCCCAGCCCAGTCCCTCTGGCCCAGACACACCTTAGAGAGAGATGCCCTACTTCCACAGCTTACTTGGGGCTTGTCAGGTGGGCTGGGATTGGTAGGCAGGCCAGGGGCTGAGCCCTTCATGTGCCCAGGGATAGGCAGCTGGGATTGGCAGGCTATGGCTGGGAATCCGAGCGCAGGACTGGGTGAGGGTGGGTGGAGGGGGCCAGGCTCGAGCAGGTCTGAGAAAGGAAATGGAAGGACAGATAAGTGCTGACCTTGTCCTCCCAGGGCAGGGGAGTGGTGGGAGCAGAATAGGGGTATGGGTGAGGAGAGGAACCAGGGCTGCGGAGAAGGGGAGGGGGGCCAGGCAGGAGAGGGGGGCCTGCAGGGAGCCGTCTCAGGTCTCCTGCCAAAAATTAAACTATAAAAAAGCTGGAGGGGAGCGGCAGGGGAAGGAAGGAGAGAAAGGAGATGGGGAGGGAGGGAGGGACCAAACAGCCCCTCTGCACCAATAGCCCGGCAGGGGGACGTGAGTAATACATGGCTGGTTCAGAGGGAGTGAGATCAAAAGCCAGTAGATACAAGAGGTTTGTGCTTCACCGACCAGACAGCCAGAGGCTCAATGAGACCTTTGTTACTCAGGCCCAAGTCAGGGTTGAAGGAATACCTGGCTGCCCCGCCTGCCCAGCCCGCCCCCACCCCCACCCCCACCGTCCTCAGGGCTGGGGGAGGGGCCGGTCACAAGTGAGTCAAGTTGAGTTGGGTACAGCTCAGCCCTGGCCGGTGGTGGGCGGGCAGGGGGAGGGAGGAGGCCTGCCCTCGCTGGGGCGTGGAGCTTCTCGGGGTGAGTGGAGGAGTGAGTGGCTGCCTGGAAGGCAGGAAGTGGCTCTGCGGGGAATTGTGAGGCGGACTGCGAGGGAAAGGGGGCCTTGTTGAGTCCGCCAGGTGAGCAGCCCCTGGGACCCCCAGCCCCTGGCCCAGCATCCCTTGGGAGGGAGCTGAGGGCATTCTGCCTAGAGTCCATGGCTTTATGCAGGGCCTGGGTCTGGGGTTCTGGGGGCCCATGAGAGAGGAAGGAAAGGAGAACCAGAGGGGGTTGGGGCTGGGGCAGATGGCCCAAAGTTCAGGTGGGAGGCCGCAGGATGCCTGGTTGTTTGGCCCTGAAGGTTGGGCATGTCTGGAGTGTGTGGAGGGGCGTGCTGTGCTGTGCTGTGTGCTGTGTGCTGTGCTGTGCTGTGCTGTTGTTGGGGAATGCAGGATTCCTGTCCAGTGAAAACAGGTTGCTTCTACCAGGGTTGTGCAGGGAGCCAGCAAGTGTTGCCCTGGGGCTGAGGGTACAGTTGGGGTGGGAGAGGCAGCTACTCCCTGGCAGAGGCAGGGCCTGATCTGGGCCTGGGGCCTCTTACCATCTTCTTGGGGGCCCCTGGGAGAGGTCTGAGGCCCCTGGGGCTTTCCTGAGCCTGGGCTAGCAGGAGCCCTAGAAGCCCACTTCTCTGAAGCTGATGCCTGCAGCTGACCCGTCATGGGAGCGGGTGGGGAAATAGCACTTGTGATTAGAACACACCTTTTCCAGGGCCCTGAGACCTTGGTTCGCCTTAACTCAGCTCTTCAATCCAGTCCTAGAGATGTCTGTGCTAACCCCCATGTCCTGCCAATGAGAGCGGCAGGGCACTGCGCACCCCTCCCACAGCCTTGTCAGGGATGGCTCCAGAGTGAGCTGCCCTCAGCTTGGGGAGGTTTCAGCTGAAGCCCTCTTTCTGACTCCAACCAGGTCTGGAGACAGAGATCTCACTCTCCTCTAAACTATGCAAGAATGGGTGTTGTCGGTAACCACCCAGACTGGTCTGGGTAGGTTGGCCCAGCCCCCACCCCTGGGGGCACTCAAGAAACCTATTTAACCCCTCTAAACAAAGGGTAGGTCCTCATCGCTGCCCTCCTTTACCCAGACCCTCCTTTGCCCTCTGTGCTTCCAGTGGCTGGACTAGAAAGAGTTAAGCTTTGTAAAGAGGGAGCCTAACCTGGGGCCCCCCATCCTGGGTACTGGCAGCAGCAGCCTTGAAAAGATCCGGCCTTATTCTCTAGGGAAGGGGTAGTTAAGGACCCTGGGCAGGGGGCTGGAAGCTAATTAAGGGAATTTGAGGAGGTCCTTTATGGCCAGGAAGCCACCCCTCCTCATACCCTGGAGTGAGGACCATTGTGTGAGGCCTTTGTAGGGCAAGAACTGGAAACTCATTACTGGGATGGCTTTAGTGCAGGTGGTGGAAGATGGTGAGAGAATTTAACCTGGGGGGCCCAGTCCTGGAGGGAGGCAGTGTGGGTGGGTCTGGGGTCGGGGGTGCTGAGAAGGGGAGTGAGGGCTTCTCGGGTGCCCCAGCTTCTCGCTTCCCTATGAGATTCCTGCCGCTGGACCCCTCCACTCTGCTGTGGCCTATGGCTTTTCATTCCTATGTGATTGCTGTCCCAAACTCATGTAGGGCTAAAAGCCATGGGCTACAGTGAGGGGCGAGCTCCTTCTCCTGCGCAGCTGCACCTCCCATGGGACCAGGTTCGGAGCCAGCCACCAAGGGGCACCAGAAGGAGGCTTTGCTTGGGGGTGGGGCATCACGGGATCTGGTAACCTGGGATCGGGGCTAAGCCGTGTGACCTTGGCCCAGTCACTTCCCTTCTGGCCCTGTTTCCTCACTCTGGAATGAAGAGACTGGGCCGGTGATTCCAGAGGGAGATTCCCTCTGAGGAAGGAAGGAGACCTTCAGGGTGTGCTGAGCTTTCTGAGTCGGTTCCTTCCCCCTTGCCAAATTACTGAGGCCTGGCTTATGGCCAGAGATTTGGGGGCTGAAGTCAAGGGCCTCAGGCCATGAAGACTTGGGCCTTTGCTCAGTGCCTCCAGGAAAACCTCACTCCTTCACTCCTTTCTCTGAGGTCAGCTTGGAATCTGCAGCCTTTTTTCTGTGTAAGGAGACCTCTGGGCTCTTTCTGAGGCTGAAATGGGAACACTCCATGCCGGCCACGAGGGAAGAGGAGGTGTCTGCAGAGTGAAACTAGGAAGGCAGGCGCTCCCCCGGGCGACAGGCTGGACTCCAGGGTCCCTGGCTCCTGGTGTGCTACCATCTCCAGGAGCTGCCCCCTCCTGCGGTGTGTGAAGGGCACCAGCCCTCCCTGCCCCCGTCCTGCTTGTCACTCAGCTTGCCTGGCTCCTCCCTATGCCTGTCGCCACTCCCACATTCCTTCCCCTGCCCCCTTTTAAATCGGCCTGATTTTAGCCCTCCCATCCTGGAAGATTCCAACAGGTGGCTGTGGTGGAAGAGGAAGCATCCTCGTACCCCGCCTCCTACTCCCTGTTCCAGTCCCCAGTCTGTCTAAGACAGACCACTGAAGAATCACAGAAAGCACTAGATTTGGTATTGACAATCAGAAGGCAAGTTTCTTATAATATCTCAGAGCCCTTAATTTCACCAACCAACACTTACTGGGTACCTACTATGTACCCCATGATTCTAACCGCCTCACCTGCACTAACCCATTTCATCCTCAAGACAGTCCTGTCTACTGTTAGCCTATTTAACTTATGGGAATTCTGAGGCACAGGGAGCTAAGAAATTGGCCCACGTTCATATGGATAGGAAGGAGCACAACTGGGACGTGAACCCACGTGGTCTGGTGCCAAAACCCATGCTCTTAGCACATCATGCTGCATATTGGGAGAGCCAACACCAGTGCATGGGAAAGTACTCTGAAAACCAGGGAGTGCTGTACCCAGACGGGAGGTTGTTCTCACGAGATCTCTATTGGATGCACGTCCACAAATTGGCCCCGTGGCCCAACTCCAATCACCCTTTGTCCATCACTGGTTTTCCTTTTCCCACAGGAGGTCGGGGGGAGCGGGGGGATCAGAACAATAGGAGAAGCAAAGAGAAATCCCAAGCCAGCTGGGTTTTTGCTGGGGCTGATCCAGGCTACTTCCCCTCCTGCCCCAGCTTAGATGGTGAAAGGAACAAGGCATGAGAATTGGCCAGGGTTTCTTACTTGCCCTCTGGGTTCTCTCACCCAGAGTTCAGAGATGGCTGGCACCTTCCTCCACCTCCCTCATTGTCCAGCTGCCCTGGGCCCACAGTGAGCCTATCCTGTTCCCTACCCTGCTCTGAGGCTGTCCAGGCACCTGATTTCCTTCCCTTAACTCCTGATCTCCTAACTGGAAAGCCAGGTTAGAGCCATGCCACCTTCCTGCCCCCTGCAACTGGGCCCCTCCCGGGAATCCTGTTGTTCAGTTTGCCCGGGTAGTCCCCAGCACTGGGCTCAGCCTAGGAGGAAGGGTACAGATGAGCCATTCCAGAGATTATACCTCTGTAAAGCTCTAGCAAGGCAAGGGACTTTGTAGGGATGGCTGAGTAAATGTTTGTTGAATGAAGTACGAACTGGGAGAAAAGATGGATGGGGTAAAAGAGGTAAGTTGCCACCAGCAGGGACATAGAGCAAGCCCACAGCTCAGCAACTCACCCGAGACAGTCCTCGCTTTGCTGGGGCTGGGCCTGGATTGCTTCTGGGGGTTACAAAGGTGGATCTCCATTCTATTCTTTGTCTCTTGGCTACTGCCAATGGGACAGGCCTGGAGAAGATATGTGATTGTATATTTCACATGATTGTTCAATTGCATTGAATAAGCAAGTTGCCCTCATGTCCCTTCTCCCTGGAGGATTCACAGATCAGAGGGCTGTGTGTGTCCTGTCCCCTGCCTGCAGACGGCTGAAACTTTATTCCCAGCAATC
This sequence comes from Homo sapiens, assembly GCF_000001405.40. Classification (NCBI taxonomy): domain Eukaryota; kingdom Metazoa; phylum Chordata; class Mammalia; order Primates; family Hominidae; genus Homo; species Homo sapiens. The sequence goes on along the minus strand of NC_000001.11, from coordinate 205,446,049 downwards.
TAAGTCTTTTTTACAGTCCTCAGATATACCCAGCATAAGGCCTCCCTTGCGAGAGTGGGCCCATGTTTAACAACACTGAATTCAGATGACTCTCTCTTATTGTATTTGTTCCATTTTTAGTGGAAATAGAGTTTGACTACTAAGCCCTACTCCTTCCTAAATATAAAGACTATTGGGGAAAAAAAGTCTCTCTCCCCATCTTTCGAAAGTTTGACACTAAAGTTTGACCTTTGGGGTTCATTCTGGCGCTGACAGTCTGGTCCACCAGGTTCCCAGCTGCTGCTGCCTGTCACGTTGCCCACTCTTACGGTGGGCCAGCCTCTGCCGAGCCAGGCTGGAAAACACTGAGTGCAGGCCACAAAGACATTTCAGGACTATTGCTGCTCTGACCTCTCCAGCTCCCAAGAATCTCAGAACCACTGAGAATGCTTGGCTGCCCTTGCAGTCTGGAAAAGTGGAGGGAGCTTTCTCCATAGGTGGGCAAGCAAGATACAAGGGTGGCTGGTCTGGCAAGCTAGGGTCTGTGGTCTCTGAAGGCCATTGGAGGCAGAGGCCTTGGCCTGTGATTCCAGAGAGCTCGGTGAGCCAGAGGCTAGAGCTCAGGCTCAAGCAGGCCAAGAAGGAGTTAACCTCCAAGGAGAATGCGGGCTTCTCCCAGACTGGAGGTCTGTGCCCAGTTTTGCTGGTGCCAACTCCGGGAAGAAGTCCTGGGATCTGTAGTTTGTGCCACCACCCACCCCTGGCCTGCCTGTTTATCAACACGGTCTTGTAGACTACAGTTCCCAGAAACCTGCAGAGGCTAGGCTTTGGGGGAAGGGGTGGGGAAGGAGGCTCCGTGGCGGCCAGAGGGAGAGGGAGAGGGAGGAGGTGGGGAGAGAAAACCCAATTCACCCCCTTCGTTTTTAATTCTTTCTCCTGGTGTGTCTGCTCCACCGCCCGAGCTAATCCCCCAAATCCGGTCTCCTAAGCCGCAGCTGCTTCCCTTCGCAGTGATGAATGGCTCAGGGAGGGAAGGTGAATTCATATTTTAATTACTGAGACGCGGTGCTAAGGGAGCCGGGGAGGGGGCGGAGGGCTCAGCTTTGTTCTAGAGGCGTCGAGGGCACACCCTCCTTACTGGGTCACTTCTCTTTTGCCCTTTACCTGGGGTGGGGGGTGGCGGGGAGTTAAGGTGGGGGTTGCCTTGCTGAGAGTGCCTCTGCTCTCTGCCTTGGGAGATGAAGGGATGGGTCGTGGGGGGCGCAATATCCCTCTTCTTGTTTATCAGAGAATTGCTGGCATGCCCCAGCACTTTTAAATAGCTTCCTAGCCTTCCACCCCCGCTGCCGCCCACTCTGATGAAGGACATTGCCAAAATTCGAGACACCTAGGAGTTTGTGGTCTGCAAGCCTGGGGCCCTGGATTTCTCTTTATCTTACTTTCTGGCCTGCTCTGAGTCTCCTCTTTCTCTTGGTTCTTCCACATGTTCATGCTGTCTCTGACTCACTGCCCCATTTTTGCCAGAGGTGCAAGGGTTGGAGGACCCCAGGAGAGTATCTGGCACAGAGAGATGTGGGGGTCAGGCCAAGGGAAAGGATCAGCAGGGAGGCCGAGGAACCTCCTAGTGGTGGGGGAGGACGGATGCTCTATGGATTGGCATCTCTTCTGCTTGGCTCCCACAAAGCTGGCTGGGCAGGGCATCGTCTGTGCCCCCAGACCGTAAACCATCTTGGACCTGAGCTGGGAAAAAGCCAGAGAGGAGGATGGGGAAGAAGCCAGGGCCAACAGCTTGCAGTCAGATGCAGCCAACTGTGTGGTAGCAGGAGGTTTGTCCAGTGTCCACCCTGCCTCTCCATCCTATTCTGGGCTTCTGTTTTTCTGGGGGCTGTTTTTCCATTCCTTAGTCCCTCCTGGACTATGGGCATGGAAAAGGAGGGGGAGGATGGGAGGGGAGTTCCCATGATGAGCTCTGATGAGTGGGGAGTGGACCCAGGTGCTAGTCCAGACTCCTCCCCCTCAAATAGACGCAGCAAGGGGACCTGACTTCAGGGAGCCTCCAGCTGGTACTGGAGCCCTCTGCCAAGGGTGAAGGGGTAAAGTCAGGGAAGAGAGTCGACAGGACTCCTGCTCGAGCAAAGCAGAGAGGAGCAGAGACCACAGCCTGGCAGAGGGACTCCCCAGGTACCTGCTGCTGGGGACTCTGAGGGAGGAGTGGGGTTCACAGCGGGCAGGGATACGGAAATGGGTTGGAATTCTCTGCCCCATGTCCCCCCACTTCAGGGGCTGGCCCGGCAATCTGCATGCTGCAGACAGAGCCCAGGCAGCCTCCGGGGCATGGAGTTGTGCACCTTACAGTGAGGACCCTTTTAGAGACCCTGTTAGAGAAGAGGAAGGATAACCAGAGCACTTTAGAGCAAAGATCTGAGCAGAATAACCAGGCCCTGTTTATGATACTTTCTACTCTTAGATACAAGGACCCAGGAATCCCACTGAGGCAGCCAGCCCTCGAACACCTCTCGGGAGCCAGGCTACAGCCCCTAGCCCAGCTCCTGGCCAGCTTCATTAGCTCTCCTTTCCTCTGATGTGTAGGTTCTGGTTCCTGTGACCTCACTCCCCATCCTTCCCTACAGTGACAAGCTGAGCAAAAAAAGCCAGGATTTTCTTAAATTCCCCAAAGGACCCTGGGGAGGAACGGGTCATTTAAGGGGGTATATTCTGCTGTTTTTAAGAAAGAACAGTCATTGAAAAGGAAGTGGGGTGAAAAGGAAAGGGGATCGATGCACTCTGGGGCCAGAGACCCTGAGCTGCACCTTGACCTGTTTGTGGGGCTGCTACCTGCCTGGCTTGTTTTAGTTGGGAGTTCCTTCCCAGATTAGCCTTGTTGTGCCTGTCAATTTCTCCCCATGTATTTTTCAATAATCATGGGACTGCTTTGTTGATCATACCCTTGACTTATATCCCCAGCAAGAGAAGTGCACGTGTGACAATAACTGATTACACGGGAATCCACCTGCCCTCCCTCCCTCCTTCCGGATCAAGTTAGGATTCCAGCCCCTTAGGTTTGGGGTCTTAGTGTTAAATCTTGCCTAATCTCCTGGTACACTGAAATGAGGTAATGAAGGCCCAGAGAGATGTAGCCACTTGCTTAGGATGACACAGCATGTTAGCATCAGAGCCAGGAATAGAACCCAGGCCACCTAAGTCCCAGATTGGATCCCCGTCTCTCTCTAGGTTTGTCACAGGAGGGATCCAGAGATAGCTGCAGGGGATAGATCTAGAAATATAGTAGTTGTGTCTTGGCTCTATATATATCCTGGAGGTTGCTCTCTGCTAACTATATATACTCCACCAGAGTGGGTGTGTAAATGATGCTGGAAATCGGGTTATTAAATAACCAGCCTACCTACCCATGCTGACTCAAGCTGGGCCTCCTGCCCATCCAGCTGGCCAGTGGAAATGCATTGCACCTATTAATTACAGCTATTAGCTGTATTACCGGGACGCTGAGAGGCTGAGGGAGGGGAGAATCTTGACAGGACTTGGATCCACCGGGCACTGTGCTTGGTGTGGGCCTTGGCTCTGTCTGGAGAAACACGAAGGAAGTTTTTCCAAAAGGGCAAGGTTGTCCAGACCAGTGGAACTGTCCAGAGAGCCACCATCTGGGCCATGCCACATTCCTCAAAGGCAGTGAAACCACTTTGCACATGTGCCTTGCTGGGGTAACCCAGGACATCCTATGCAATCTCTATTGCTTGAGGGGCTGGAGAAGGGAGGCGCCTCATGCTTCCCTATTCCAAACCCCTTCCGCATAGCCCTGTGCCTCCCTCCTTCCCCGCAGCACTTGGGCTTCACTCACCTGCTTGCCCCCATGTTCTTCCTGGAGAGAGGAGTGATTCAGACCAGGCCCCGGCCTGACCTCCACGCAGGGCGCTTTCCTTCCTTTGTTCTCAGCTTCTCCGCTTGAGTGGCTTGAGTGCACTTCTGCTCCCTTTCCATAGGCCCAGGGGCAGAGGAAGGGCAGAGAGGTGAACTGGAAAAATCTGCAGGTGGTTAAGGCTAGGGAAACCTAAATGAGCCTTTGGAGAAAGGGATACTCTTGCAGACTGAAGCTGAGCTCCTGAAGCTCCCTCTCTTCCCCAGCCAGACTGCAACAGATACCAGAGCGGCCCCTGGCTCCTGCTGAGGGCCGGGTCAGCCAGAGGTGGGGGACAGCGTGTCCAGCTGGGGCAGATCCAGCCTCAGCCTCTACCTCAGACTTATGTGCCAGGGAAGAAACCATGTCTTTACCCTTTTGTATCTACCTCTCAACCCTTTGCCCAGCATAGGTGCTAAATAAAAGAGCCTGTTGGCTAAAAGAACCCTCTTTGCTGTCTCTTCTCTGCATGGTGAGGATGGGATTTGCATTGCCCTGAGCAGTCAAAGGAAGGGTATAATTGCTCCCTATAGGCTTTCCTAGGGTGTCAGACAACTTGGGGTTGTTAAGGAAGGGAGGAATCTGACTCGGTCCCAGGTGTCAAAGTAAAGCTACACTGGATGAAGGGGTCCGCATTTGGATGGAGGAGGGCCTGTCGTGTGTGCAACCTGCAGAAGCGAGTGGAAGCCCCCAGCTAGAACCTGGTGTAAGGTGGCACAAGCCGGAGGCTATTTTAAGCCAGCTTGCTTCCTGTTCCCCAACCACAGGTATATGGTGATGAGGTGGGGCAGAGCGGGTGGGAGGGGAAAAAAGGAGGCAGCAGCTGGGCATTCTCTTTCCTCCCTTGGACTCACCCTGTCTCCAATGTGAGGAATGACATCAGCTCCACACAGATCAGGAAACACTGAGGTTTCAAAGAGCTGTTGTTTAGAGGCTTGACTCCTCCCCCAGCCGGTGTGAGAGACCTAGCGGGCCGCCTCAGGGAGTGGCAATGACTGGGCCAGACCCAGAGGGTTCTGGGAGCATTAACCCCAGCTTGCTTCTCTCTTCCTGCCTTTCTCCTGCCCCCTCTCCCTCCCCTGCCTTTCCCTGCAGATCTCTGGTGAGTGTTCCCCCAGCCTGGCGTAGGGCATGCCCCAGTTCACTTTCGCCTGCTTCTGTGGTCTCCACGGCTTCTGCAAAATGAAGAGGAAGAAGGAGGAAGTTCACAGAGAGCGGGAGACGGCGGTGTGATCAGAACCAGGGCCCCTCCATCAAGCCCCCAGCAGGTCCCAGGCCTGATGGTGCCTGCTTCTGGCTGGGGCTTGGAGCAGGAAGCCGTGTGTGTATCTTAAGTCTTGATTTAGCCAGTGCTCTTCTCAGCCTGACTCTCACCCGAGGGCATCAGCCTCCTGTGTGCCTCTCATCCTCCTCATGCCCACACCCATTAGCTTCCAATTCTCAGACCTCCTTGGAGAGAGGCCCCAGCCACACAAGGGGGAACCCCAGGACCTGCCGCATGCCTTCCAGAGACTGAGAAGCCCCAGGGAGGCCAAGGAGTGAAACTTCTTTCCTGCCCTGAGAGCTTCGGGGGACTCTTCTCAGGGTAACCGCATGAGGCATGTGCCGCCTTGGGCTAGGAGAGCTGTTGCTAAATGGGAAACTGGCTGCTCTAGCAGAGAACTTCCAGCAGCCCTGACCCTGGAGAAGGCCTCCAGGGCGGAAGTGTGAGACTCTCCTGGGATTCCAGGACCTGGGGCAAGAATCCTTTTCCAGCCCCCTGCCAGCATCCTCCTGGGCCAGGTGGGGCCAGGCCTGAGGTGGCCAGCCCAGTGAGGAGGAAGGCAGAGGTGGCCAGTGGCTCCGTGGCTCCCTCTGTTCTTGCTCTCCAGAAAGCAGTGTTTCCTCCAGCCCCGGCCCTGACCCACCCGTGTTCATGATGCCTGTGCCTCCTTGCCAGCATCACAGATGTGGGGAGGCCTGTTCCCCAGGCCCTGACTCCCCTCCTCAGGGACTGTCTTGCCGTGGCCAGACTGAGGGACCCCTTTCCTGGACTGAGCCGTGCCCTCCCTTGATTCTCCTGTCTCCCCTGCCTTTTTCTTCTCTCCTCAGAAGCCATAGAGGGGACTGCGTTCATATGTGGTGCCTTCAGTGGAAACTCTTAGGGTGGGGGGACCTCTAGGACCTTCCTCGACTTTTTCCCTCATCCCCCACCCCCGCCAACCTTCCAGCTTCAGCCTCTGCCCTTACCCCCAGCCCATTTCCAGGAGGTAGGAAGCAAAAGAAAAAAGCATTTCCTTCCCTCTTTCCTTCTTCCTTCCTTCCTCTCTCCCTTCATTTTGGTATAACTTAGCCTTTTGTCTTTAATCCTGGAGTTCTCCGGGGCTAGAAGACAGGCAGAGACGAATGCCAGCAGCAGAGATGCTTCAGGCAGATTCTGTAAGCCTGTTCTCCCTCATCAGGGAGCAGCTCAGCCAAGGAGCAAAGTCAGACCCCCTCTAGCTCCCCAGGGACAGAATAGCCCTTCTGACAGGTAAACAGGTGACCTGGGTAGAGAGGGCAAGGCCCCAAGATAGGAGAGTCAGGGCTCCCCTTTCCTTGGAATGTGGGCCTCTCTGGGCAACTAGGGAGGGCAAAAGTCTTCCTCGGCTGGTTCGCCCAAAACCTGGGAGAAGCAAGGGCACATTCTATGCTGGCAGCCTCTGCCTGCCCAGCTCATGCCCACACTCAGGGGCCTTTCCTGGGCTTTGGGCAGATTGGGTGGGATTCAGGTTGTCTTTATGAGGCTTGAGCACAGCTTGAGTTCCTCCTCCCATCCTCCAACCCCTTCCTTTGCCCCTACCTCCTAGCCCCCACCTTCTACAATCTGTTATTTCCTTTTATATCCAAAGAATTATAAACAGAAGTCCTTCCCTCAAGGGAACAGCAAGATTCAGCAATAAAGGCCAGTGGGGTCACAAAGGACAGAAGAAAAACTCCCTGGTTCTTTGTCCTCTTGGATAGTAGAGGCCTTGGGTGAGGCAAAGAGATGGGCAGAAAAAGTTACCTTGATACAGAGGCCAGAGAGCCTCCTGGAGGGCATGTGTTTCCCTAGCGGTCACCTGCGAGGCTGCAATCCTAGAAAAGTCACTTCTGTGGCAGAGGATGAAATTGTATCCCCGGAGACTCAGAGATATTGGGTGTTATGTCCTGACCACACAGGCTCACCAGGAGGAAAGGTTAGGAAAGTGGAGAAAGTACGTCCTGGGGAGCGGGTGGCCGAGGAGAGCTTTCCCCTTGTGCGCCTCTCAGGCCTTGGCAGGGATTGCAGCTGCAGGGGTTTGGCAGTGAGCCCATCCAGAGAGCTTCCTCCCCCGGGAGAACTCCCTTGGCTCCAGAGGGATACTAGATATCTTGAGCCCTGGCTTTGGGAACATGGGTGGGGTCCCAAGGTCAAAGTGTTCTGAGTGGAGGTCCAGTTGTCCTCTGCCTCCAAGCCGGCAGCCCCTTCTTCACCCAGGGCTGAGGTTGGGGCCAGCACTGCAGCTGGAATTGTCTGAGCAGGAGGTAGCAGCTTCTAGCCAGGCACACCCCAACCCCACATTCTATTGTCCCTCAGTTTCCTTCTCAGGAAAATGGGGACTTTGCTCCTTTTAGCATCTCAGGAAGCAGTCTGGACACCTGTGCCCTCCTCTAGGCCCTTGGATGAGCCCAGGGAATAGGGAAAGGCCAAAGCAGCCCCAGCATTCGCAGACCCTGCGCCCTGGGCCTCTGACTTCGGGCCAGGCTTCTGCTCCTTCTAGGGTTGGCCTGGCTGCCCTGCCTTCCCATCCTCTCTCCATGGTTCTCTCCCAGAGACTCCACCTTGAGGTGGGGGCCCTGAGCTCTTGGGGTGAGGGAGGGGCACATGGGTAGATGATTCTGTGGAGGAGATCAGGCCTCTTGTTCTTGCTGCGTGGCACTGATTCCTCCTTGCAGATGGGTGAGGGGGCCAGTTTTCCCCATCTGTAAAGCGAGGACTTCCCATGGCCATTTTCCCTCTTGGGCTTCAGGCTGCTGAATGGAAGATCAAGAAGTGTGAAGGGTGCTTGGGGTCCTTGTGACTTGAGTGTTGCCTAGGACCCTGGCCCACAGGACCCAAGGGGCTTCTTGTCTCAGGTTGAAACCTTTTTATCAGAATGTCATTTCCTTCTCTGCTCCCAGGGAAGGGCTTTTTGCATGTAGCATATGGGTTCATAGAAATATATAGGGAGATTGTTATTTTTAGGAAAAAAAAAGAGCAATAATTAACTAACTGAAATACACATGAAGTGTTAGAGTGGGATGCAAGGAGCACTGAGCTGGGAGCCAGGTCTCCTGGCTTCTAGCCCTGCTTGGAAACTAATGACCTATGTGACCTTAGACTAGTCATGTCTTATTTCTGAGACTCAGGTTCCTCAACTATAAATAGGGGATTACATAAATTTCCTCTTAAGTCTCCTTTGGAGTCCAGGGCTCTGTGAGTCTGGGAAGTTGAGCCTCAGTGGGGCATAGGGTTGTGGAACCAGAGGGTCGCAGGTTTCCTCTGCCCTCACAGATGCACTCCGTGCAGACAACAGACATATCTGGAGGGTGGATGGAAGTGGTATGGTGGCTCTGAGAAGTGAGAGGGGGAGTGAGAGGGAAAGGCAAGTCACCCAGAGCTTCTGCTAGAATCTTCCCCTAGCCAGGGCCCAGGACTCCTTGCAGTTCTGCCTCTCTTCCCTCCTACAGCCAGGCCCAAGGGGAGTAAGTCAGTTGGCCTAGACTCTGACTCCAGGTCCTGTCTAGGCCATCACAGGCGCCACTCTTATGTACGTTCTCACTTTCTCTCTGTCACATACACACAGCATCACCACCACCACCACCACAACCACCTGCAGATAGATGCTCAAGTGATTCTAGAAGAGATCTCAAGGACTGGCGCTCTGCTCCAGTTATGTAACCCATGGGCTTCCCTTTGCACAGCTCCTCATGTGCTCATCTCCATGCTGATCAAACCACCCCACCTCATTCCTTGCCTTCTGCAAGGGGAAGTGCCTCAGGCTGGAGTTTGTCCTGTCTACAGACTGAATATGCATTTTGCCCAGTGGCTGGAGATGTGCTGGTGGTGGAATGTGCTGGTGATTGTTTCTGGATGGAGAGCCACAGCCCCCCAGTGTTCTGCCATGACTGACTCCTGACCTTGGCAAATTGCCTCCTCTCTCCCAGCCTCCTCCATAACAGGTGGCGATGAGTCCCATTTCCTCCCTACCTCACAGGAAGGCACGCATTATAAAGGGCACACTTATCAGATGTGCCCAGATGTGGCTGGAACTTTTGGAGACAGATACTTGGTTCACAACTGCAAAGGTGGGCTTTCACCAGAGAAGAAAATCTCTGGGCTGCTGAGTTCAGTGGGCTCCTTGCAGGCTGGTCCAGGAAGTCTGGTGTTCCTCCTGAAGGTGGCTGCTATGTCCAGCAGGTGATCAAGCTGACAGTACCACAAGAACCAAGAAACAGAATCTGTTCCCAAGGAATGAATGTTCTATCTCTCTGACCCAAAAGCAAGAGCAAGAGAGAGCTGTCACCATCATCACCCTGCTCCCAACACAAACACAGCCCCCCAAGTCCATATTGCTGACAAGGGTATCTGCCTTGTCAGGGTGAATCCTCTGGACCCCAGGCCATCCCTGGAGTGGTCAGTGCCCACTGTGCCGGGGTTATTGTGGCCAGTCCGCCTGGGTTCGCTTCTCTAAATTTCCATGGGATAGGAACTATAGATCATGAAGAAGAAACAGGAACCTTGACTCTTCACGGAGGAGCCCAGGAGGTCAGAACCATCCACCAGGAGGGTGAGCGGTAGCTGCCCAGGGCATCCCTGGAGGAAGTCGTCATACTGAGGAAGAAATTGCCAAAGCCAAGAGCTCCCAGACCTGGGCAGCTCAGGAGCTGACAGAAACCACCCCCCAGGTCTGGAGTTCAAGGGTTTTCCTCGTGGGCTGCTGGTCTGTCTCTTTCCCTTCTGGGGCAGCCGTCTCTCCTCCTTCAGCTCATTCCCGTGTTCCATCTGAGGGGCGGGAGGAAGGCAGGAGGGGGAGATGGCAGGACCCAGACAGATCCTCAGGACTCTCCCAGCCTCTGTTGCCATGGCAACACTGCTATTTTTATCCCGTTGTTCATGATGCTCAAAGCTCTAACTTTCTCTGTTCCAGAGAGGCCAGGCTGGTTTCTGCCCTCATCCTTTAACACAGCATCTTCTCCCAGAGGCCTGAGGATGGGAAAAAGTGATGGAGAAAAGGGGAACCCCTAAGGTCACCCCTCAGCCAGGGGGAACTGTTTAACAGGGGTTTGTCTCTGCCCTTTTGAGCCTTTGGTTTTCTACCTGGCTCAGGCACCCAGGTTTATGTTTTCTAGATCAAAACTCTGCATGGTCTCCCTGAGAGACTGGAAAAGAGCTGCCAATCAGGATGGATTTTTTCCTACACAGGTATGACACTGCAGCCACTTCCCTTCTTGGGAAAATTAAACTTCATTCTGAAGAATGTCCTGTTGGTGGTATAAGCCAACCCCTGCCCTCCTAAAAGGGGATAGATAATTAAATTTGGTTAATTAGCAATCAGATTCACTGGGGAATTGAAACCAGTACTTCCCTTTCTTCTGTCCCTCCACCAAAGAACCGGAACAAATGGCTTCATGTCTTTGTCCAGTCTTTCTGCCTAAAGCAAAATAGCATATATTCTCCAGGCTGAAAAGTAGATTCCTCCTCACCCCTACTCAAGATGGCCACATTTCAATCCAGGCTCTTGAAGACAGGGTCTAATGAAAGGATTTCTGTTCTTTCTCTGTCTGTTCCCTCTGGCCCAGCTTCTAGTCCTCTCCTTATGTCCCCACCTCCATGGCAGTGGCAAGAGACCCCTGAGAGTCAATGGTGCTAACGTTCCCCACCTATATACCCCTATGTAGTTTATCGAGATTTGAACCCAGCACCTGGGTGGCTGTGTTGGGCGGATACATTTCACGTCCTCAAGACCACAACCCTGGCGACAGGTCTGGATTAATTCTGTAAAGTAGCAATCTATATCATGCTAAACTCCTGCACTGAGGTTCTTCCTCGGCTGAACTGACTCGTGGATGGTTAAGTTTCCTGGGGTGGCTGGAACCCATTTACTAAGCCTCTAATTGGTTTCATTTTGGCTCAAGTTGCATGGTTTCCCGAATCTATGCACCTGGAGTAAGCACTTTTCTGGTTGCCACTGAAAAGCATGCCGGCAAACGCTGCTCTGTTAATTGCTGTAATAAACAGACTTTATTATATCCCTTTGCAGTAAATGGATTATGTTGTCAGGGTAGAAGGGGCATCCGTGTTTATTTTGCACTGTGATACACTGCAGCAGCAGAAGCTAAACATTTGTTTCCATCAAATCTGCTGAGAGGAGGGAGAATGGAGACTGGGGGGAAGAGTCAGGAGTATGGACATAAAGTGAGGTGTTGGGGCCAAGAAGGAGGCTTTGGGAGACACCCCAGGTCTCCTGGAACTCCGTGAGCCTCCGTTGTGCTATCTCTAAACTGAAGGAAGCCAGGCCTCATGCCTCTTACCATCTCAGAAATAATGGTGGGATAAAGCCAGCTGGAGTGGGTGGGTGTGGGGAACAGGGAAGGTGGTTTAGGACTACAATGTGATCACATAGTCTTAAAGGTGCTTTTAAGAAAGAGAAAGAGCCAGGCGCAGTGGTTCATGCCTGTGAGGCCAAGGTAGGAGGATCACTTGAGCTCAGGAGTTAAGACCAGCCTGGGCAACATAGCCAGACTTCGTCTCTACTAAATATATATATATATAATATATATATATATTTTTTTTTACTTAGCCAGGCATGGTAGCATTCACCTGTAGTCCCAGCTACTTGGGAGGCTGAGGTGGGAGGATCCCTTGAGCCTGGGAAGAGATCATGCCACTGCATTCCAGCCTGGGCAACAGAGCAAGACCCTGTCTCAAAAGAGAGAGAAAAAAAAAGAAAGATAAGAATCCTTAGTTGGGCTTCTCAGAACCTAAGACTGTATTCACAGAACACACGGGAATTTTCAGACTTATAAAAGAGAGAAAGATGCTATAAGATGGCATAACATTAAGAACAAGAATTATTATATCATGTATGTGATTATATATCCATAAAGCTGTTTGAAAAAGAATTATTATGTCATAACTCCACTTGGATGGGGGAACAGAGATTCCAATGATCTCTGAAGCAGGACGCCCTGAGAGAGGGCGGAGAGATCAGGCCATCAAGTCTAACCCCAAAGCCAGTCTCCTGTAAGGCAAGAAGTGATTTGGGCCAAGACGAGACTCAAGTATCACACAGGCAGCTGTTGTTTAGAGCGGTGGATTGACTGCTCCTGAGAGGGCTGGCTGCCTCTTCTGCAGGCTCAGCCACCATGATGCCTAGCACAAAGCGCTCACTAAGTGTTTGTTAAGTGGTCTGGGGCAGATATGACCCCAAGCCTTTCCATCTTCAGGAGTCCGCCAAGATGCCTGCCCCAGTCCCTCTGCTGTCTGCAGCCCAGCCTTCACCCTCTTGCATGGGGAAATGTATGCTGTGCACTGCTGTTGACTGAATCTGTTCTATCAATATTGAGTCCCGGCCCTATGCAAAGCCCTGTGGGAGGGGCTGCAGGAGAAATGTAGGAAAGCCAGACATTGCTCCAGCCCTCGAGAAACTCACAATTTAATATTATTTTTCTTTTTCCCAAGACAGAGTCTCGCTCTGTTGCCCAGGCTGGAGTGCAGTGGCGCAACCTCGGCTCACTACAACCTCTGCCTGTTGGGCTCAAGCGATTCTCCTGCCTCAGCCTCCCAAGTAGCTGGGATTACAGGCACCCGCCACCACGCCTCACTAATTTTTGTATTTTTAGTAGAGACGGGGTTTCACCATGTTGGTCAGGCTGGTCTCGAACACCTGACCTTGTGATCCCAAAGTGCCTCCCAAAGTGCTGGGATTACAGGTGTGAGCCACCATGCCTGGCCAATTTAATAATAATTTAGAAAACAATGTGGCAAGGCTCAAAAATGCCTCAGCTAAAGTACAAGCAAAGTGCTCCAGGGCTTCAGAGTCCTGAGAGAACACAACTGTAGAGTAGGGAAGAATCAGGGAAGGCATCACATAAGAAGTGGAATTTTTATATTTTTTATTTTTAGAGGCAGGGTCTTGCTCTGTTGCCCAGGCTGGAGTGCAGTGGCACAATCATGGCTCACTGCAGCCTCAACCTCCCAGGCTCAAGTGGTCTTCTCACCTCAGCTTCCTGAGTAGCTGGGACTACAAGCACATACCACCATGCCCAGCTAGTTATTTGTAGTTTTTTGTAGAGGCAGGGTCTTACTATGTTGCCCAGGCTGGTCTTGAACTCCTGAGCTGAAGCTATCCTCCTGCCTTGGCCTTCCAAAGTGCTGGGATAACAGGCAAGAGCCACTGTGCCTGGCTGAGGTGGGATTTCCCGGGGACCCTCCTCTCTTCTTTGCCAGCGTCTACAGACTTCTGCCCATGGCTGTATGTACGCACGGACAGAGCTAGCAATGACCCTGCTGGCAGGTATGATAGGAAGCCTCTTCTGTCACAGGTAAGCCTTATTGTTCCCAAATTCCTCTCCTCTCCAAAGTCTGACATCTGAAATTTCATGAGTGCTTCCTCTCTTTGACTTCAGGTTTTGATCTCTTGGGGTTTGTAATCCAGAAAGGAAGCAACCACTGGGCAGTTTTCAGGCACTTGTCCCACAGCATCAGTGATTACCTCAGATTCCCTCTTGGAGCAGGTTTTGTTAGGATGAGGGGAAAGAGCCTGGGAGCAGTGCACACTGGGCCAAGGAGGGAGAGGCCCAAGCCGGTGGGAGACCGGGAGCACACAAAGGAGGAGTGGCTGGGGGCTCTCTGAACTTCCCTATCTCATTGCACTACCTGGCCAGGCCATGCATGTCTACACACACTTATGCTTGTCCACTCTTCAGCCCTCCTCCCTCCTTTTCCCTTCCTCTTCCTTTCTCTAACTCTTCTCCTGCTACCTTTTCCCTACCCTTCTTCCAAAGAGACAGTGAGAACCTCAAAGATATCACGTGGTTATCTGTCACACCCCACCACATTGCCTGGGACCAGAAGATTGGGAAGGGACTGCAGGCTGGTAATCCTAAAGCTTCTGTGTTGGGCGGGTGCGGTGGCTTACACCTGTAATCCCAGCACTTTGGGAGGTCGAGGTGGGTGGACCACGAGGTCAGGAGATCAAGACCATCCTGACCAACATGGTGAAACCCCGTCTCTATTAAAAATACAAAAATTAGCTGGGTGTGGTGGCACGCACCTGTAGTCCCAGCTACTCTGGAGGCTGAGGCAGGAGAATCTCTTGAACCCGGGAGGCGGAGGTTGCAGTGAGCCAAGATCGCACCACTGCACTCCAGCCTGGCAACAGAGCAAGACTCAGTCTCAAAAAAAAAGAAAGAAAGAAAGAAAAAAGCTTCCGTGTTGTTCTCCTGGCTTTGCCCCAGCTAAAATGTGTATTGGTGACCAGACAGACATGCGACTTTGTCTGGACCTCAGTTTCCCCTACTTATAAAGTGGGTGGAACTCTGCCTCCACCAACCTTCCACTCAATTGGCTATGGAGGGAAGAGCACAAGACTTGTTGTCTTTACTATCTGTGGCGGCCTAGAGAAGTCACTCAATCTCCCTAGACTTCTGTTTTTCATATGGAAAATGCAGATAATAATATCCACAAGTTTTTGCAGGGGTCAAGTCAGATAGCCTGTGCTCAAGTGCTTACCTAGCTCCCGGCCTGGCACAAAGCAGGTGTTCAATATGAGTTAACTGGAAGGTTCGTTGAAAAAATTAGGAATCGCAAGTGTGCATGTTGCACGTGTCACATGTTGCACTGCATCTAGCACGGTGTTGGGTACGAAGTAGACATTCAGTCAATATGCACAGGTCAAATTGAACTGAAAACTGGGTACGGAGAGGTCAGGAATGATTAAATTAGTTCACTTGTGTGTTGGCTAACGTCTCCTTTTTCAGGTAATAGACAAGAAATAGTGTGTAAATCTGCTTATCCCCAAAAGGCGTGTGACCTGTGCAGTGAAAGTGAGCTGGGGGTCCTCCGCCCCACCCCCAAGCTCGCTGGGCTCTCTAGGACAAGTCTCTTCCTCCTGCTGCATTTTAGGGAGCATCCTGCAGACGGCGCTCTCCCATCATCTCAGCCTCAGCCGAATTGAGCTGGGGTAGGGAGCGAGGGGTGAGGGGAAGTGTGAAGGAAAAACAGCCCCACGCGTCACTCACATATTTACATCTGAACTGTCAAAATAGTTATTTTTAAGTCGAGTTCCGTCTGCTGCGAGTTTAAAACTGAGCGGCGCGGGGGCGGGGCGCCCCACTGCGGAGGGAGGGCGGCTGGAGCCGCGGCCTGAGTGCGCGTGCGCAGTGCGCCTCGCCGGCTGCTTGGGGGTCCCCCGGCTGAGTGGGAAGCTCCTGGGGCAGTGTGGGCGCGGAGGTGTGCGTGTGGAAGACCGGCTCTTCCTTTGGCCACTTTGCACCTAGCTGGGGAGCTGCGTAAACTGTTGGCGTCCGCGTGGTCTGCCATTCCTGGTTCTCCACGGTGATGGGCGGCTTTCTCCTGTCTCATGGGAACCACGCATCCCATTCCAGGAGGAAGATCTGTCTTGTTCTTACCTCCTCTGGATGACTTTGGTTGTCCACCCCTACCCTACTCTCCCACCCCGTCCCTGACAACGTCTGGAAATTCTCCATAGCCTCCCTCTATACTTCCTAGTTACAACTGGGATCCATGCCCATCTCTAAAACAAGACTTCATGGGCTCCATTCAGATCCAGGTCTGATTTGAGGATGCCCCTCCGCCCAGCCGTCTTCAACACAGCCCTTCCTAAGAGGGAAGGAGCTGGGGGCTTCTACGGGAGCTGGTCAGCGCTTGGGCGGGCCTGAAGCCGAGGACCCTTGGGTGTGCAAGCAGCAGAGAGAATGACTTGGCCTTCTATGTGGCAAGAATTCATTTTTCTCTGCAAAGTGAGGAGCCTGCTGGTTTGACACTCAGGATGCTTCTTTCTTGCTCTCTCGATTGCTCTCTCAGGGGCAGTGGGATTTGAGACAGACGCTGCCTGGCCCTGCTGCCATTAATATGTGTCCCAGCCCTGTCCAATGTCTGCTCTGTAATGAGTAGTGTTTCGGAATGTCACCTCTGTTAATGGGGAAGCGACACCTGTGCACAGCCGGAACCACCTCTCTGTCTTCATTAGGCAGTCCGCGGCCTGGCTGCCGGCTGCCCTCGCTGGGTGACAGATGATGGGGATGAGGAGTGAGAGCAGCAGCCTCCTGCTGTCCAGGATTCATTCCCAGACAATGACCCCAAATGCCTGTCCCTGCTCCCCCCACCCCCCAACATCAAAATAGCCGAGAAAAATGCCCTTCTCGGGTAAGGTGCGGCAAGGACAGATAATAGCTAAAAAGCATGCTAAGGAGAGTAGAGGAGTCATTTCCAGAAACAGACCTGTGCTAGCCACTGTGATCTCCGGTTTAGATTGCATTTGGGGGTCTCTTCCTCCCCCAACCCCGGCTATCTCCACAGGCCATCTTTTATGCCTCTTCTAATAAATCTGTCCCCCATGCAAAAGTCACAGTGTGAGGGCATAATGGATGTTCTAATTCCAGATTTCTCTCTAGCCCAGAGCTGCATATGGCCTCCCAGCAAAATCCTGATCCTTTCAAATCTCAGCCCTCATATCTGCCTGACACAATGCGGCATTGAAATGAGCCAAGCCACAAAATGTCCTGAGACATTGACAAGGCTTCAGAGGACCCCTACCATCATGATAAGATCAGCCTTTGAAACACACCACCAGCGTGGATATCATATTCCTCTGGTTCAGTTCAACATACCCACCCTCCCCACAAGGCTGTGTTAAAATAGTTGCAGCATCTCCTTCATCTCCTCCGCTGCCCAAGCAAATTAAACTGGACCAGAAGTGTCCTTCCATACTCTCTAGGTCATTGGAGATGGAGGTGGGTTGGGGCCACCTGTGGAGGGTAAGGGATGGTGGTGATGATCACTTGGAATTGCCTGAGGCAACTGTCTGATCCAGAAGCTGCATGGATAGCTGGTTACTTGACTGGGGCTGGCGGTGGAAGTGGCTTCCCATTGCCAGGCCCTCACTTTGAAAGGCTGTGAGGGAGCCATGTGGAGATCTGGACTTTTCCCATGACCTCTCTTCCCTGTCTCAGAGAAGGGCACCTCTGGTTACTGAGATATTCAAGCCAGAAATCTGACTCATTCCTGACACTCTCCACTCTCCACTCTCCACCCCACCTTTGATAGGTCACCAAATTCTCAAATCCTATTGACTCTCCCTTCTAAATCTCCCTCAAATCTATTTCTTTTCATCCCCACCTAGTTACTTAGTCCAAGCCAGCATCTTTTGTCACTTTGCTCTCCAGTCTACCACCCTCTCTCTCATGCTTTGCCAGCCTCCCTGACTTTTCTTGCCATTCCACGAACACACACATGGTCCTCCCTGACTATCCAGTCTAAATCAGAGCGCTTTCCTCCCAAGCCTTTCCCTGTCACATCAGTCTGTCTCATTATCACATTCTGAAAGGTTCTCGTTCACTCCATTTGCTTGTGTGTCTGCTTTTCCCTCCTAGGACAATACGCTTCAGGAGGGCAGGAACCTCGTTTGCTTTATTTAACCTTGTATTCATAGCACCAAAATTAGTGCAAAGCATGTGGTAGGGTTCAGGAAATAGTTGTTGAATGAATGAAGGAATGGTTTGCTGCAACCTAACGATATCCCTGTACCCAGTCCTGCACCCTTCCTCTCATCCCCTCCGTAGCACCTCAAGGGCTCTTTCTCAAAGATAACTGTCATGGCATCACTCCCCTGCTCCAAGCTTTTTGGTAACAGGATTGGCAAAATGTTGACAACTGTTGAAGCAGGGTGAGGGGTATATGTGGGTTTCATTATGCTTTGACTTTACTTGCTTGTAATTGACTTCTGTTTATTTTAAATGTTTTAAAATTATGGAAACAAAAAACCACCATAAAATCTTCAGTGGCTCCCACTGTCTTAGGATAAAGCCTAAGAGCTCCTTATCCTGCTTCCTAGGCCCTTGGCTGTCTGGCCCTCTGCCAGTCTTCCAGCCTCACCCGTTGCCAGTCACCCAATTGCCTTCCATACTCGGGATCCTCAGGAAACATCCACACTTCTCCTTAGTACCAGGAACCGTTATAATGCTCTGGAACAGTTGTTTGTTTCCATTTCACGAGTATGGAATTGACTAGAGTTTTTCTGTATGGCTGCTAGAAGGCCAGGTCAATTTGGAGATCCTCCTGCATGTACAGACTGTGTATCAGCCATGAGAGTTTCCATCTCAGCCTCATTCCTTCTCCATTTCATGCTACTACTTTTTCTGTCTTCTTTTTCTTCCACTTTTATTATCTTTCTGTGACTGTCTTCAGATCCCTGCTGGTACAGAGTCTCCTTTAAGCCATGGGAATTCAACACTCCTGGATTCTAAGGACAGAAATGGATGTCCCACAATGTTCTCGCCATCTTGGTTTGTGTGGTCTCCTATTTCATGACATTGCTCCTTACCACGTGTACTGCGGTGAAAACCCATTCCCTTGAGTGTGCGCTCTGTCTGTCTCTCTCTCTGTCTCTCTCTCTCTCTCTCTCTCTCAAATGTTCTTTTGAGAAAAAGCAGATTCCAACTGGCCTTTATTATGAGAAGCTACTTTCAGTTTCCCTGAGTTTCCAGGTAAAGGGGTGAGCTATGATATCAAATGAGATGGGGAGATGCCCCAGTCATGAGTGATGTCCCCTCATCAGCAAGAATCCCAGTGCAGGACCCCAGAGCCATGTTGTCATACTGAGGCCTTACTCACAGTTCACACTTGTGAGCGCTTACTGTGAGCACTTAAAGAAAACAGTGTTTTTAGCTCCTGAGATGTGTTAACTCAGTCCTTAAAAATTCTGGAAGGAATGTACTGTTATGACTACATTTCCATTTCACAGATGTGAAAGCCAGGGCCCAGCTAGTAAGTGACACAAATGGAGGCAGTGATACAAAAATCCAGGATACAACCAGAGGCAGTATGACCCCGGAGCCTGTTCTCCTAACCACTCTGAAATTGCCTCTTAAGGTTCCCTGGGGCTTCCTGAGCTCCTGGTTGGTGACTCTGGTAATCAAAAGCCTCCCGGCATCTCCTCCACTACTGTTCATTATCATTTCACAGAGTGACTGGGGTGAGGGACACACTTGGTCTCTCTCCCTGCCTTCTTTCTCCCATCCTGCCCTGCCTTGCTAGATTACTCTTCCTGACAGCCCTGAACACCCTTCTTTAGAGGCCTCCAGGATGGCAACCCATCATCAGCTTCAGAGGGCCCCAGACCGGAAGGATCCTGGAACCTGAAGGGACCTGGGGGCCTAAACACCCTCAGGGAAATCCTGGAGCTCTCTGCAAGCTAGTTCAACCGTATCCATCCATTTAGCTAAAGCACATCCTTCGCTGAAGCCAGCCTGGTCTCATCCCCACTTCTACCCCCAAGCCTTGTTCATGATATGCCTTTGCCTACGATGCCCATCCTTCTGCTTCCTGCCAATCCAGACCTTACTTGTTCTTCCCACTCTGAGTTCCACCTCCTCCAGGAAGCTTTCCCTGAACAACACCACCCCCAACCAGGGGAGATTTTTCTCTGTTTCTGACCTTCTTTGGCATTTATGGCTACCACTCTATTGGTATTTGATTATGAACTTTCACTTCTTACCTTTGCTCATGAGTGTTTCTGGTTGGTTTCTCCATTTAGAATGTAATCCGTTTGAAGAACTACATCTTACATGTTTATCTATCCCTGTGGGTTGTCCACAATTTATTGCATGCGGTTTTTGTATCATAAATCTCTGTATGCAGGACTCATAGGATACCAGGAAAGGAGCCCCCAGCTCATGTTTACCAGCATCAAAGGTCAGATTTGCCTTCATGACAGGACGGGAGGTTAGGACCGTTTAGGTTTTAAGCAGCAGCTCAGAAAATAGGGTAGATGGATATCTTCCTAACTTTGTATAGCAGGGAAAGTGTTCCTTTAAGTGTACTCTTCATATGAGTCCAGTGTGTAAAGCAGGTGAGGGTGGAGTTGTTCTGGCTCCCCTGGAGTGGAGCTGCTCTGTGTCCCCCACCCCTCCATGGTAGCTCCAGGCACTGCAGAGGAAACCTTGGAACTGGAGTATCATAGTTTCAAAAATTGCTAGGAAAAATCACATCTTACTCCATATAAAAAGAATTTACTAATTTGGATTATTGAAAGGAGAAATTATATGCACTCATTTTATTAAAAGCATATTTGCTATTATGTTTATAGAATGGCAATTAGGCAGCATTTTCCCCTTTGTTATACACATTTGTTGTTTTTTTCCCTCTGTCAACCTTGTTCATGCCTCATGCTTTTGAAGGGAAGATGCTTCTGCCAGAACCTTCACTGCATTTGAGTAAAGGCTCTGTTTACTCTTCCATTTCCCCCACTACACCGGCTGCTCCTTGAGAGTGGAGTCTACTGGGCTCACTCGTTTCCTCATCTGCAGCCTTAGCAGGGTGCCTGGTACGTAGTAGGTGCTCAGTAACTGAACTCCCAAGGGGTTTGAGTCTTTAATTATACAGCCACCTCTCAACGAGCTAGACCTGGCTCACGAGCTCTGCGGATGATCCGTGGTGAATTTTAATGTGGTGTTGGCATCCTCCTGCTGCTCAGCTTAAGCCTGAGCTGCTTCCCTGTCCTCCCCCTCCGCACCTCCCCACTTCCCCTGCCCAGCTGGCATGGGCTCAGAGAATATTAGTTAATTTTAATATTAGCCTAGGAAAGATTAATTAGGAAAGCAAATTTGCTCTAAAAGGTGTAATTAATTCCGAAGCCAAATAGAAGAGGGTTATGGATTATCTGCATTGCTGCTGGCTTCAAGTAGTGTAGATAATCAAGGGTTGACTAGACAAGTGCAGAATAATTTTTAAAGTGTCAGTGCTGTGTAGACCAAACTCCATATGGTTCCTTATGTAAGCAGGCTCATGGCTGAGACAAAAGATTTGTACTGAGATGGTGCCTGTGCAAGTGAAGTGAGGAGGAAACACATAATCAGCCATCCTGTTGTGGCTATTCTGCCTTCTAAATCATTCATGAATCGTGTGTCTTCCTCTCTAGTCCTCCCCCAAATGGAATCATCTCTTTTCTAGAGTGTTGTAATAACCTCCAAGGAGTCTTGTAGCCTCCAGACTGTTCCTTACCAATTCATCCTCCACTCGATATCAAACTAGGTGTAATTATACCATGAGCTATTTATAAACCTCTACGTGTGCCCAGAGGTGAAGGCAGAGCCCTTAGTGTGACACACCAGATCCTTCACAAATTGGAGGGATCCACCTATTCAACCCGACTTACTTCTTGTCTTGCTCACTACACCCTAGAATGTCTGTCCCCAGCCCGTTGTTTATAGGGCAAACTGTTGCTCATCCTCGAAGTCTCAGCTTCAATGTACCTTTGGATGCTTATGGTTCAGATTCTGGGCTCCTGCAGCATTCTTTTCACTCTTTATCTTATTTTTTGTAGCTATTTGTTTCCTTTTCTCTTTAAGGAGACAGTCAGCTCCTTGAAAGAGGGGCTATAGCTTTTGCATCTTTGTAGTCTCCTCTACCTCTCCTTGATTTAGGCCAAGCATAACCCCTATCCCACAGGAGATGATCAACAAATAATTTTTGAAAGAAATTGATCAGCTAATGATTTCAACAATGATGCCAACCAGATCAGCTCACTGAAACCCAAACTTCTCCCTTTTCCCTCCGGTCAGCAGTAAATTCGGCCTGAAATATCTGGGGAAATGCCTCCGCTTTCCACTTCCTTTTGCCTGCATAGTGGAGACTCAGAGGCAGGTGGCTTCAGAAGTTATCTGAGAATGATGAGTGATGCGGGCTTTAGACTGACAACTGCTGATCTTTGCTTTAGTTGATTTCTCCTTTTGCAAATGGTTATTGGCAATTGCAACTGCAAATCTACTATCTTCTCCCCTATGTAAATTGCATTTACATTTAAATTGTGCATTCTTCCAAAGAATGGGGTTAGTAAATAACTCAAAGATTAAATTTGAGGAGAGGAAATTGTGCCCCACGTCAAACCTGAGACTGAAGTGACATCTGGCTTTTACTATTTCCGTTATTTCAGTTTAATACCAGCATGTGGCATTAAGGGAAGAGAAATTGGATCTACATTTTAATGAAAGGAGGAAGCTCTCAGGGTTTAGGTACCTTATCATGTTGAATACCTACTCAATTAAAACTTGCTTCCCTCAAGAAATGGAATAAAATATCTTTGCAGCCATGGGGAGAATGAAAAATAAAAAACAAGCTAATGCTCAGGACTGCACAGATAAAACTGAGGGAGATGGTGTGCTGCAAGCAATGAAACCAAATATTTCAGGATAGCACAGAGTACAGGAATTCATAAATGGAATAATGCTGACAATAGAATCATAACTATGCTGGTGGATTTTCAAGAGAATAATTTCAAGCAGAATAGTTTGCACATAATATAGGGCGCAACCCATAGATGTTGATTGAAATCATCTGATTTAATCCTTCTCTACCTAGCTTGTTTTAAACCCCAGAGATTTAACCAAGAAAATATTTTAGAAATGTCTGTTTCATCCCAATAGTCTAACTGTTTAAATGGAAGCAGTTCCACCTGCTGGCTGCTTTTTTGTTGAAAGCAATTCTGGGAAATGTAAACAAAATGCTTGTGCCTCCTAATAACCCAAGCCTATCATTTATTTGCTTTGATGGAAACAAATGTGTCAATTTTCAAAGTCTTTGTTTGGTGAATGCAATGTTTGGATGTTGGTAAATATTTGCATTACATGTTTGTTTGAAAACTGATGCTCTATTCAGAAACTGTGGAGCCATAGCCCTTGGAGCCACAGCCTGGGAGACTCAATGAGCCTTCATAACCACCCACCCAAAGACGTTCAGCTCTTTCCCAGAATCTGGAAAGGACTGAAACTACAGACTCCCACGGGCAAGTGTAAATGAGATGAAGCCTCCTGAGGAAAATACCGGATGTGGAAACTCTCTGGGGCTAGGGCTCATGAGTAGAATAATAGAAAACATTTATATAATGCTTTCTATGTGCCAAGCACTTTATGTGTATTATAACTCATTGAATAACATAGCCCTTTGATACAGGTACCATTTTTATTATCCCCCATTATGGACAAAGAGGAGGAGACACAGTGAAGTTAGTAACTTACCTGATGTGATGTCACCCAGCTGGTAAATGGCAGAACTGGGATTTGACTCTAAGCAGGCTGTCTCCACTGTCCTCTTCACCCCTTTCAGATCATTCCCTCTATCCTGCAATTTAATGAAGGCATTGCGTTTTCTCACAGTTACATTTTGTCTTGCACACGTCTTTAAAATCTAAGCAGTCTTTCTTGAAAGATGCAGGCTAATAGTCTCACCGATCTTTCCTTAAACAAAATAAGACAACAACAAGAAGTAGGCTTTTGCGATGTAGATGATAATATCTGTCTCAGCTGGCTTATAAGAGTATCCAGAGGATGAAGTGAGATGATACGAACATGCTTTGAAAAGGCCAAATCCATCAAACTTCTGCAATGTATTATTATTTATCTGCCCTCCATCCTGATTTCTTATTTTCTTAATTGAATAATCCTTAACAAATTAATACAGGTTTCTTCCGCTTTCCTATTTTCCCTGGAGTAGATGGTCAAATTGCCCAACTACTAGTATGGGCCTTTTGATGGGTGGTCTAGACAGTTGGGTTTGTCTGATTTCTCCTTTCTCTTCCTTGTTTCTTGACACCATTTGGTTTGGTAGCAGCTCCTTACTTGCTGTGCATAATGATAACTTCTCCGCATCTCTTGACATTGTATCATGGCAGTGTGCCTATGAAGTCAACCAGTACCTCCTTTTGTTTGAACTTTGGTTAAATTAATCATCTGATTTGCACATCAATCTGTTGCTATGGGGGTTACTGATGTCACACTGTCAGTATTATGATTACCATAATATCTAACAGGCAAAAAGGGACTGGTTGCTAGTGGAAACCTCAGAGTGAAACTCACCCAGCTTTAGTAACCAACTCGATTGCATAGACTTTAGATAACCATGTGAAGGGGTAAGTGAATTAATCATCCAGTTGGATTCCATTTGAATATTTTTCTTCCATATGTGTGTTCCCTCTAGGCAATTGTCTAGTGCCACTTGAAATTGTTGAGGGCTCTATTGGAGGTTATTTTTGGGAAGCTGGTGAAACAACAGACAGCTGTTCTCAGGAACAAATGTCATAGGATCTGCCGAAGCAAGCTTCCAGTAAAAAAGAAAGAAAAAAAATCTGAGGTGCTGAGATGCATTGTCCTTTTTCTTCCTAGCATTAGTTTTTTTCCCACTGGCCTCAAAGTGTTAAGTCAGTTTCCCAAACACATAGAAAAGGAGGAAACTAACATTTACTAGGTACCTACTATGTGTACTAGAATGTAACTCTCTTTAAAGCATGGCTTTAAAGTAGAGAACTGTCAAACTAGGTATTCCAGAACAACCCTATTATATATAACAATTCATGACTTTTTCTAGCTTGTATACAGTGTTCTTCCTAATTGGACATTGATTGATCACCAACAAAAGCAAAGTCATTATTTAAAATTGGTCTAGATCCTCCTATGCTGAATAATTATCTGGCTGTTGTTTCCACTGCAGTATTAAAAAGCCTTGAAACATGATAGAAATGTGGTACAATAAACTCCAAAATTTAAAAATCTCCTTTAAAAGGTTTGACAAATGGGTCTGTCTTTTTGCGGATTTTGTTATGTAGGTAGAAGGGTCAACTTTGGGAGATCAAGGGATCAAGTGGATAAAACTGATTGAATTTGAGGTTGTGCAGATTTGGAAAGCCATATCAAGATTTACATAAATCTATATGAATCAATTTGTGTGCCAGAGAATGAATAGCTGACTTTTTTTCAAATGCCAATTCAGCAATTACTAAGTCTGTTGGTGGTTAATTAAAAACTACCATCTTGTTAACGTTCAGAGTTAAATTACAAGTGTGAAAGCTGCTACTGTTTGCAATAACTGAATGCTCTGTACTCTCTGTCCTGTCATCAAAAGGAGGGCAGGGATAAATAACTTTTATTTAACTCACTAAAAAAAAAAAAAAAACCTCTCAGCTCTTTCATATTTAATTAACTTCTTATCTTCTCAGAGCTTGAGTTTTGCTCAGAGTTCCTGAGCAGTAATGGAAATATCTGTTTATTTTGTCCAGAAGATTTTTCTCATATTCATTGAACAGAACAGTTGTAACTAATTGAGCCCTAAAGACACTGGGGAAAATGACACCCATCCAAAGTTTTACATTGGAGGCAACTAATCCCAGCAGGGATTTATGGCAGAACTAGAAAGTGTTGATTTTTGCTTTATTGCCTGTGCACCTAGGAGGTTGGGGAGATAGGATTATAAACACTTATGTGGATTGGTAACATTTTAGTACTTATTGGTAAGGCTGTCTTAATGAATTTAATGTTTTGTTATTTCAAGGATTCTACCATCAGAAAAGAGGCCAAACTTCTATCATCATGGTGGATGTGAAGTGTCTGAGTGACTGTAAATTGCAGAACCAACTTGAGAAGCTTGGATTTTCACCTGGCCCAATACTACGTATGTACAGTATGCAGCAAATATTACAGACTTGTCATTTATGGTTTATAAACAACTTACAATAGAAGGAACATATGCAGTAAAGCCATTAAAATAGAAATAGGAACATAGAGAAAACAGAAAACCACAAAGAGGGAAGAGGCGGTAAATATACCCAAATCCTATTTACAGATTAGGATTGGGTGTTTGTCTTACTGCAACCTCTGCCTCCCAGATTCAAGCGATTCTCCTGCCTGAGCCTCCCAAGCAGCTGGGATTACAGGTGCACACCACCATGCCCCACTAATGATTTTGTATTTTGTAGAGACAGGGTTTCACCATGTTGGCCAGGCTTGTCTCGAACTTCTGACCTCAGGTACTCCACCTGCCTTGGCCTCCCAAAGTGCTGGAATTACAGGCGTGAGTCACCACACCCAGCGCATGGATTGGGTGTTTTTCATCAGTGAAAAACCAGTTACTCTTTATTATGTTGTTCAATTTTTTTGTTTTGTTTTTAGTATGTGGACCCTGTTAACTATTTATTTATTATCTGTATTCCCCATAGATAGGATGCACAGCCTTGTCTGTGTTCTCAGATGTGTCCAATGCCTGACTCTGTGGTTAATCCATACAGGTATCACCTAAGTGTGTGGAAAGGAAGGAGAGAGTTGAATAGCTATGAGTCTACCTCATTTAAAAAGCCGTAATTGGGCAGGGCGCAGTGGCTCATGTCTGTAATCCCAGCAATTTGGGAGGCCGAGGCGGGTGGATCACTTGAGGTCAGGAATTCAAGATCAGCCTGGCCAACATGGCGAAACCTCGTCTCTACTAAAGTAAACACAAAAATTAGCCGAGTGTGGTGGCGAACCTGTGGTCCCAGCTGCTGGAGGGGCTGAGGCCGGAGAATCGCTTGAATATGGGAGGCAGAGGCTTCAGTGAGCTGAGATCAAGCTACTGCACCAAGCTTGGGAGACACAGTGAGACCCTGTCTCAAATAAAAGCCATAATTAACCAATAATGTAAGGGTTAAGAATAAAATTCTGAGTTATGAAATACCTTGAACCTAGTAGGCTCATATACAAAAAACAGAACAATTTAATTTGTTCTCCAAATTCTTCCTCAGCTTCCACCAGAAAGTTGTATGAAAAAAAGTTAGTACAGTTGTTGGTCTCACCTCCCTGTGCACCACCTGTGATGAATGGACCCAGAGAGCTGGATGGAGCGCAGGACAGTGATGACAGCGAAGGTACCGCCATAAGCTGTACTGCTAGATGGCAACTTTGCACTTATTAATACCTTGTCCAGCATGATTTATGCAGCTTTAAATGGTGTGCAGCCTGACCTGTGAAATAGCCATAGGGCCTCTTTGCACAGAAAGCCTGGAAAATAGGCCCCTGGGCTGTAAAAAGAATCTGTTAACTTCACATCTGTATTCACGCCAGTGACTTAACTGGGTGGAAAGTTGGGGGAATGACTGCTCAACGTGCATGTCCTTTTACTAACTAGAGCCAAATGTGTGGTGATGCCTTACAATCAGAAATTCCTACAGGTAAATTCTGGGCCTCCTTTGAGGACTCAACTTCTGCTTTGCCTCAGTTGATAAATCTGACCATTATTTTGGGGGGATTAAATGATTTTATGCCTATTAAGAAAGATGAGCCACACTGATGGCTCCCACCTACATGTAATTCCAGCACTTTGGGAGGCCGAGGCAGGCGGAGCACCTGAGGCCAGGAATTCGAGACCAGCCTGGCCAACATGGTGAAACCTCGTCTCTACTAAAAATACAAAAATTAGCTGGGCGTGATGGCACGCACCTGTAATCCCAGCTACTCGGGAGGCTGAGGCAGGAGAATCGCCTGAACCAGGGAGGCGGAGGTTGCAGTGAGCCAAGATGGCACCACTGTACTCCAGCCCAGTGGACAGAGCGAGACTCCGTCTAAAAAAAAAGATGAACCAGATTATACCTCCCTGAAACCCCTCCTATGCTGACTGCCCTCCTGATTTATATGACAACTGACAGCAGCTGGTCTCTTTCAGGTCACAGAATGGGTAGGGAACAGGGGTCTCCAGGATCTCTGGGCTTTGCTGACAGTGGCCCCTGCTCTGGGTACACCATTCTCCTGCAGTGGTTTCTAGCTTCAGGGATCTTAGGGGAAGGGCTTGGGGATTCCCACAATACATTCCAAGGCATTTCCATTCAACAAATATTTATCATGAGTTCTCTATGAGCCACAGTAGAATGACAGGAACTACCATTTATTGAAGGCCACCAGTGCAACCTGGGCCGAATGCTCATCATCCCATTTAACTCTCACAGCACTTAGTAGAAGCTCAGAGAGGCCAAGTGACTGGCCCAGCATCACTGAGCTCGGAAGCAGCCCCAGAAGATAAGCATACGTTAGCACGGGCCATGCAGAGCGGGACCCATCTGTCTTTGTCACCACTCTGTGTCCAGCTCCTGGAACAGTTCCAGGCACATAGCAGAACTTGGTGTATGTTTGTTGGATGAAAGAAAGTGAGAGAACTGAGATTTGGACCCAGTCTGGCTCTCCAAACTTTGCTCTTTCCACTCCATACCCTACATTTTTCTCGTAATTTCTATTGTGAGCGTGTGACCACATTACATTTTTTTTTTTTTTTACCATGTCTGATCTACAAAAAAAGGACAATATCATATAGTTCAAATTAAAAACTGGATAAACCATGCAAGTGCCTGGGGCCCTCTGAAAAATCCTGTAATCCCGACATTGGAGGCGGCACAGATACTGAAAGCTTTCCCCAGGGGTTTTGCACCGCTGGCCTCACTTGAAAAGGATGGCAAGGTTTAGGGATAAACTTCACTGGCCCTTGAGCAGGCAGTTAGCACGGGGGTGCCTCAGGGAAAGTGGCTACCCCAGGCCTCTCCTGGTTGTAGATTGTGTTCAGAGTCCTGTCCCAGATCCAAGCCTGCTTCTGTTTCCTGCCCTGGGGAGGGGCTCAAGAGACCAAACCAACACTCTGGTGAAAAGCAATGCCAGGTTGAAGATTTCAGAACTGTTCACGACTTCCCAGGACTTCGGGTTAAAGCTACAAAACCAAGCTGTTGTGGTCTCAGTCCCCGCCGTCCTGGGTCCCAGCATGTAGCCCTCTACAGAAGTGCGTTGATGCTAGGGCTAGGAGAAAATTGGTCCTTCTGTTTATAAGGTTTGCCACTGCTTTAGATAGTGCCTACCTGATCTAAGCCAACTACGGGCCATCAGGTCGAGGTGGAAGCGTTGATTCAGTCCTACCCTTGTAATGCAATTCTGTGGTTGCCACAAGTAGCAAACCTGGTTCTCCAAGTTAGGTTTGAACCATACATTTGAATTTGCTCATTGGAAAAGTCTCATAGCCACTGGTACCATTAGAGTGGAGGAGTTGTAATGAACTGGACGGGGGTATCCTGTGGACTTAGCCTTCTCCTTTCATGGAAACACCTAGTCCTGGAATGGGCTTGTAGTGGCGGTGGAGGTGCAGGGAGTCCTAGACCTGAGGCTGAGTATGAGGTCATCCAAACAATCAGTGGGTTTGATTTTTCTCATTTTCACTAACTGACTGTCTTGTCAGTGGGGAGACACAGCTTTAATTATCTAACTGCTTTCAAACTTTCCAAATATTTTTGACTTGGAGAGCTCATTTAAAATGGATGTGCAACTCCACCATTCCTCTAGGTTTATCAAAATGCTTCTTTGCAGGCTAATTAACAACATCCTTTTCCGTCCCTAGCAGTTCCCCCAATTTTAAAGGCTTTTAGCACAGGTCTGGCCTTGCCTTCCCTGGGTGCCTTTTTGGATCCAGAAGGAGAAAATCCTCCCTTCCTATCTTGGCATTCAGGGATGCATGGGGCTTACAGCTGGTTCAAAGGGACAATGACTAGACTGCAAACAGCTGCCCAGATGGGCAGCCAGCTTGTGTATTTCTCTTGGAGGCATGCAAATATGACAGGCCTTATTCCCAGAGGAAGGCCTAAGTCTGTTTCACAAAGGCTGCTCCAGCTCAGGAGAAATGTTCTCTTCCGTCAGAAGAGCCACGTGAATTTTCATCCCCTTGCAAAAATGTCCTCTAATTGAGAGAATTCACCCTGGTGATTGATGTTTATTCCCTTTGCTAGCTCAAATGTTCTCATGGCCTATTTTCCTTTTGTTTCCCATGATCCAGAGCTTAATATCATTTTGCAAGGAAATATCATACTCTCAACAGAAAAAAGCAAGAAACTCAAAAAAGTATGTACCATTCTAATGCCTGAATACTTATACCCATATATTAAAAACAGGGAGTAGCTCTGTTCATCTGTATTAAGAAAGGGGATAGCAAGTCACTACATTCTGTTATAGTGGTAAAATCCTAGTTTAAAGAGGATCATTTTAATGCAGATTTCTGTATGATGAAAAAATTTCCATGATCTAGCAGAGGACCCAGAATGACAGGGTCCCTCCTGCCCCTTCTTAAAAAAGCCACCACTCTGCTTTCCCCAGCTGTCACGCCCCCTCCCCATTTTCACTATCTGTTGTCTACATTCACATATAGCACTTAGCTTGGTTCTGGGCCCACAGTGAACATAGAATAAATGTGAGTTTCCATCCCGTTCGCTTTTCTAGCCCCTAACATCTGGCTTCTACCCCCAGCACCGTATTGAAGCACACGGCCAAATGTGTGAGGGTTACAGGTTTTGGGGTGAGGCCTAACTGGCTTAGGATTTCTGCCCTCAGCTTCCTGGAAGCGTGATTTTGGGGAAGTCAGTGAACAGATCTAAGCCTCCTAGCACAGTTTAACAGCAGTGCCTACCTCACAGGGTGGATGCGAAGTTAAAGGCAGGAAAATCTCTGAGCATCAAACACAGCCCATAACTAGTGCTTAATAATGAACTCCAAGGTGCCAACTCTAGTGACTTTTTCTGTCTTTTGACCTCTGACCATTTTTATTTGGAGATGCCTGCCTTCTTAGATTTCAGAATTCTGCCACTCTTTGGTTCTTGGTTCTGTATCTCTGTTTCTATTCTGACTTTTTGTCTTCCTCTTGGCCCCTGATGTGCCTGTGCCTGAGACCTCCTCCTTCAGCCTCTGCTCAGTGTGATTCCCTCACCCCCTCTTTGCGGCGTCCCCACACACGCTTCTCTCCTGAGGCACAGGTCTGCATATCCAACTGCCTACTGGGAAGTGCCTCCCTTTTCCTTCTCTTTCCCTTCCTTCCTCGCTTCTTCCTGCATTCATTTGACAAATGGTTACCTAACTTCATGAACATTTTGTGGGTTACACAGACGTGTTCATGCTTCTCCCCATGGTTATCCCCCTGTACCTCAGGCTCAGGTGTCCAGGAATGACCATGCACATTTCAGCCCACCCTAAACCTGCATCTGCGGCCTGGGTTTATCCTGATGTTTCCACAACCTCCCCACTGTCCAGGCTCAAAGCCTTGGAGTTACTGGACTGCCCCCTCCCTGCAGCTCTTCACATACAAAGAGCTGCCAAGTCTTAGGGATCTGAATGATGTTAAAAAATCCATCCCTTCTGTCTCTTCCCCCTGCTGCTATCCTAGCTTGCACCCACATTACTTATTTATTTATTTTAGAGACAGGGTCTCATTCTGTTACCCAGGCTGGAGTGCAGTGGCACCATGATATCTCACTGTAATCTCGAACTCCTGGGCTCAAGCAATACTCCTCCCTCAGCCTCCCAAGTAGCTAGGACTACAGGTACACTCCACCACACCTGGGTAACTGAAAAACAATTCTGGCCGGGCATGGTGGCTTACTCCTGTAATCCCAGCACTTTAGGAGGCCAAGGTGGAAGGATTGCCTGAGCTCAAGAGTTCAAGACTCAGCCTGGGCAACCTAGGGAGACCATGTCTCTACAAAATAAAAAAACTGGCTGGGTGTGGTGGTGCACACCTGTGATCCCAGCTACTTGGGGGGCTGAGGTGGGAGGACTGCTTGAGCCTGGGAGGTTGAGGCTGCAGTGAGCCATGATCACACCACTACACTCCAGCCTGGGCAATAGCATGAGACCCCATCTCAAAAAAAACTTTTTTTTTTTTTGTAGAGACAGGGGTCTCACGCTGTCGCCCAGGCTGGTCTCGAACTCTTGGCCTCGAGTGATCCTCTTGCCTTGGCCTCTCAAAGCACTGGGATTACAGGCATCAGCCACCTTGCCCGGCCTCCATATTATTATTTTATTTGAACAATTGCAAAATCCTCCTGTGTTTGCCTCTAACTTTTCCCAATTCCAGTTCAGATCTACAAGCAGAGATTTAATCATGTTACTGACTTGTCCAGAGACTTTCAAAACAAGATGCAAACTTGCTATACACCATGAGTCAACTCCAGTATCTCCTGTAACCTCATCTCCCTCATCATCCAACCCAACAAATTCTTACCTTGTTTCTGCACCTCTCACACTGTCTTCCCATGAACCATTACTTCAACTGTTCTTTATGCCTGAAATTCTTTTCACTCTTCTCACCCCCTACCACATTTTTCTTCCTGTTAAAACCCTGTGATCTTTTAAGGAATATCTCAATGGCCACTTCTGTGAGTCCTTTTAAAATGGCATTAAGATGGGTGGATCACTTGAGGCCAGGAGTTCGAGACCAGTCTGGCTAACATGGCGAAACCCTGTCTCTACTAAAAATACAAAAAATTATCTGGGCATGGTGGCATGTGTCTGTTGTCCCAGCTACTCAGGAGGCTAAGGCACAAGAATCACTTGAACTCGGGAGGCAGAGGTTGCAATGAGCCGAGATTGTGCAGCTACACTCCAGCTTGGGTGACAGAGTGAGAGGAGACTCTCAAAAAAAAAAAAAATGGCATTTTATCCTGGGCAACATAGCAACACCTCATATCTCCAAAAAAAAAAAAAAAAAAAAAAAAAAGTTGGGCATGGTGACACGCACATGTCATCCCAGCTATTCAGGAGGCTGAGGTAGGAGGCTGGCTTGAGCCCAGGAGTTTGAGACCAGCCTGGGAAAGATGGTGACACCTCATCTCTACAAAAATTGTAAAAATTAACTGTACATGGTGATGCGCACCTGTGGTCCCAGCTACTCAGGAGGCTGAGGTAGGAGAATCTCTTGAGGCTTGGGATGTCGAGGCTGCAGTAAGCCATGATGACACCACTGCACTCTAGCCTGGGTGACAGAGCGAGACCCTGTCTCAAAAAAATAATAAAAATTAAAATAAAAAATAAAATGATATTTTATCCTCATTTAGTAGCTATCACAGGGTCTTGCACATAGTAGGAGTTCAAAGCTCACCTCACCAAATCTACCAAACAGCTCCAATGGCAAAAAGGTTAGTTTGCAAATATGGTCTGGTATTTAAACTAGTTGCTAAGTTTAAACAAATGAAAAGAAATCTTCAAGTAAACATTGCCATGTATGCTATAGCTTCAGCTTCCCGTTTAAACATAGTTCAAATTTGATGAAGTAATTCTGATATCATACCAAAATTTCTAAAAGTATATTTTAACTTCCAAATAGCTCATTAAAGGAATCCTTTCCATTCGGTAAACCTCAGTTCTGCAGAAAACCCTTTAATATAGTTCCTGCAAAGATGCTGCAGCAGAAAAAGCAACCTGAGTATGGCAAATGCATCAGCTAGGACCAGTGGCCTTCGGTCTCCACTTTACATAAACCTGAAATAAAACCACATCGATATTTTGAATTGGCAATAGAATTAAATAGGAAGTTTGCGATGGCATAAAATGTTTTGATTTGAAGGATTTATATAAGCCATTTTCATTCTCAGAAGGGCCTCAAGACATCTGTTCATCCTTAAATCTGAAAGGAAATGTAAATAAGCATTCACATTTCCATGTAAAAGGTGGTAGAAGGTGTATTTATTGAGACACTTGTCTAACACTGTAGACTTTAATTACTTAAGAGCATTTGTTTGTACCTAACAGTCTTCTGAGTGCCTAGATAGGTAGTATTTGCATTTCTTTGAAATACCACATTTTCCTCTCATTTTTAGTTGTTTTCTAGTGGAATGCAAGCCACTTAGAGATATGGAATATGCAGTTTCTGGACTCTTTTTAACACTGTATGTGTCTGCTTTATCAAATCACATATGCAGCCCATTGGATTTGGTCGTTAAAAACACTCATTAAGCCAGGTCAAATTTTTTTTTTTAATTGGGGATTTTTTCCATCAGAAAGACACTAGGCACAGCTTATGTTACCAATAACGGAGTGGGACATTAAGTCAGTATGTGTAACTCAGTCTCTAAGTGCCCTTCTACCAAACGGGAAAATGGGATTTGGGGTTGATTGGTAGGGAGGCAGAGTAATCTACAATGTCAAGCTACATAAAATGGGCTTTGAGTAAGGTGGCCGTATAATTTATCATCCTGACCAGTATGCTTTTGAAAAAGGACACTAACCTGAAGGGATGCTGGAACAATAGGAGTAAACTGGGACTATCTTGGGCAAATAGGGGCAAATGGTCCTGGGTTTGGGAGCGGTTCCAAGGTTGGAAGTGTTTATATCTGTGTCCCATCTTCAGAGGGCTGCTGCATCCAACAACCAGAGGGCAGCTGGCCCTGGGAGGTGTGTACTTCTGAGCCCTCCTGGGCCACCTGGGTGTTTCTTTACCCTCTCCCAAGCACAACATGCTCGTCCCTGCCAGAATCTCAGTTTACTCTGTTCTCCCAGCCTGCATGCTCTCTTCTCATCTTCCCACCCATCCTGCACATTCTGTGGGTCTGGGCCCAAGAATCAGTCTTTCTTTTCTTTTCTTTCTTTCTCTTTCTTTCTTTCTTCCTTTTTCTTTCTTTCTTTCTTTCTTTCTTTTCTTTCTTTCTTTCTTTCCTTTCTTTCTCTTTTCCTTCCTTCCTTCCTTCTTTCCTTCTTTCCTTCCTACCTTCCTTCCTTCCTTTCCTCTCTCCTTCTTTCTTTTTTTTTTTTTTGAGACGGAGTCTCACTCTGTGGCCTAGGCTGGAGTGCAGTGGCACAATCTTGGCTCACTGCAAGCTCCGCCTCCCGGGTTCACGCCATTCTCCTGCCTCTGCCTCTCCGGGTAGCTGGGACTACATGCGCCCGCCACCACGCCCGGCTAAATTTTTGTATTTTTAGTAGAGAAGGGGTTTCATCGTGGTCTTGATCTCCTGACCTCGTGATCCGCCCGCCTCGGCCTCCCAAAGTGCTGGGATTACAGGCGTGAGCCACTGCGCCTGGCCCTCTCTTTCTTTCTTCTTTCTTTTTCCTTCCTTCCTTCCTTCCTTTCCCTCCCTCCCTCCTTCCTTCCTTTCTTTCTTTCTTCCTTCCTTCCTTCCTTTCCTTCTTTCCTTCTTTCTCTCTCTCTTTCTTCTTTCTTTTTCCTTCCTTCCTTTCTTTCCCTCCCTCCCTCCTTCCTTTCTTTCTTTTTTCTTTCTTCTTTTTCCTTCATTTCTTTCTTTCCCTCTCTCCCTTCCTGCCTTCCTTCCTTCTTTCCCTTCCTTCCTTCCTCTCTCCCTCCCTCCTTTTCTTTTCTTTCCTTCCTTCCTTTCTTTCCTTCTTTCTTTCTCTATTTCTTCCTTTCCCTTCCTTTCTTTCTCTTTTCTTTCCTGTCCTTCCTTCCTTCCTTCCTTTGCTTTCTTTTCTTTTCTTTCTTTCCTTTCTCACGGAGACTCATTCTGTTGCCCAGGCTGGAGTGCAGTGGCATCATCATAATTCACTGCAGCCTTGACCTCCTTGAGCTCAAGTTAACCTCTGGCCTCAGCCTCCCAAGTAGCTGGGACTACAGGCACGGGGCACCATGCCTCGCTACTTTTTCATTCAGTCTCCACCCCACCCCTGCCCAGGAGTTTTTGCCGCAGGCTGTAAAATGTTGAAGGTGAAAACCCATAATTTGACTCCTCTGCATTGAATTCCATGCCAGGCATTTGGGGGTGGGGCAGGGACTTACTCAGTCCCTGTTGGCTGAACTGAAAGGAGCTTTCCTCTACTGATGTTGATGATCTTTCTCTTTCTGACTTCCTATTCTGTACCATATACGTTGTCTCTTAGATGTACCTTGATGTAGTCTCTTGAGAGATGATGCTTAGATCATTGTGAATGGATGACCATTCAGGGAATGGTTGCAACAGAGTTTCCACCCCTGGATCTCAGCCTGTGAGTCAATAACTATTTATTGAATACAGGACATTGTGCTAGATTTTCTTGAGGAAGAATATAAGTGCAGAAAAAGGCATAGATCCTATCATGAAGAAACTTGAAAATGAGCTCTGGAAACAAAGAATATGGGTATCAAAAATATGGATTCTGCCAGGTGTGGTGGCTCATGCTTGTAATATTGGCACTTTGGGAGGCTGAGGCAGGAGGATCACTTGAGCCCAGGAGTGCAAGACCAGTTTGGGCAACATGACAAGAACCCATCTCTACAAGAAAAATAAAAATAAATTAACTGGGGGCTGGGCACGGTGGCTCACGCCTGTAATCCCAGCACTTTGGGAGGCCGAGGTGGGTAGATCACCTGAGGTCAGGAGTTCAAGACCAACCATGGCCAACATGGTGAAACTCCATCTCTACTAAAAATACAAAAAAATTAGCTGGGCGTGGTGGTGCATGCCTGTAATCCCAGATACTCCAGAGGCTGAGGCAGGAGAATCACTTGAACCCAGGAGGTGGAGGTTGCAGTGAGCTGAGATAGTGCCATTGCCCTCCAGCCTGGGCAACAAGCGCAAAACTCTGTCTCAAAAAAAAAAAAAAATTAATTAACTGGGCATAGTGGCACGCATGCTTGTGGTCCCAAGCTACTCAGGAGGCTGAGGCAGGAGGATTGCTTGAGCTTAGGAGGTTGAGGCTGCAGTGAGCCAAGTTCATGCCACTGTACTCCAGCCTGGGCAACAGAGTGAGGCCTTCTCTTAAAAAAAAAAAAAGACTGTAGAGCCAGACTGCCTGGGTTCAAATCTCAGCTCTACTACTAACTTGGACAAGACACTCAACCTCTCTATGTCTTAGTTTCCTCATCTATAAATAAGGTTAAGAACAGTATCAACCTCACAGAGTGTTGTGAAGATTGAGTTAAAATATGCAAAGCAGGGTAGTATATGTATATGTAATAAGAGGCAAGTACAAATAAGAGCTATTATTATCATTAACATTATTGTTACATGAAAAGCATGATATTTAATTACCTGTAGTACAACACAACATACTTAGTGAAAAATAACATAATGGAAAATGAATGTTTAGTATTGAACTTTTAAGTGCTGCAGAATGTGATTTATCGAGAGCCTACAGATATATTTATAGAAGTAAATATACAGATACAATTAAAGATTACTTTCTGTAAGCCCTGCGTGTTGAATGAGGCAGACTGAACTTTAAAAAACAATAATATGCCGGCCAGGCTTGGTGGCTTATGCCTGTAATCCCAGCACTTTGAGAGGCTGAGGTGGGTGGATTGCTTGAGCCCGGGAGTTCAAGATCAGCCTGGGCAACACGGTGAAACCCTGTCTCTACTAAAAACACAAAAAATTAGCCCGGTGTGGTGGTGCACACCTGTGGTCTCAGCTACTTGACAGGCTGAGGTGGGAGGATCACCTGAGCCCAGGATCTCAGATCATGCCACTTGCACTCCTGCCTGGGTCACAGAGGCCTTGTTTTTTGTTGTTGTTGTTTGTTTAAGTCACATGTGCCCTTCCGGTATTTGGGACTCCTTCTTAATCTTATACTTAAATTTAGCTGAGCTTGATGGCTCGCTTCTTTAATCTCAGCACTTTGGGAGGTCAAGGAGGGAGGATCACTTGAGCCCAGGAGTTCGAGACTAGCCTGGGCAACATGGCAAAACCCCATCTCTACAATAATTGCAAAAAAATTAGCTGGGCATGGTGGTGTGCACCTGTGGTCCCAGCTACTTGGGAGGCCAAGGTGAAAGGATGGCTTGAGCCCAGGTCGAGGCTGCAGTGAGCCGTGATGGCACCAATGCACTCCAGCTTGGGTGACAGAGTGAGATCCTGTCTCAAAAAAAAAAAAAAAAGAAAGAAAGAAAGAAAGAAAAAGTTATTAAATCTTTTTCCACACCTCTCGAAATATTTTCAAACTTACAGAAACTTGCAAGGATAGTACAAACACCTCCCACATTCCTTCCACTCCAGTTCCTCAGTTGGTACCTGGTACCACATTTGAGGAGTGTGTGTGTGTGTGTGTGTGTACCCTACCATTGTCTCTTTCTGAATGATTTGAGAGCAAATTGCAGACATGAAGCCCCTGGGCTCCCCAGTAAGTATTCTGCCTACCAAAGGACACTCTCCTACATAACCACCATATGATCCTCCAGATAAGGAAATCCACGCTGATTCATTGCTTCCAACCAGTACTCAGACCCCATGCAAGTTTCACCAACTGTCCCAACGATGTCTTTTTGCTTTCTCATCCACAACCACTCCAGGAACACACGCTCTCTTTAGTTGTCATCTCTTCCTTCTCCTTCGATCTGGAGCCACGGTGCCTCAGTCTTTCCCTGTCATTCCTGCCCTTGACAGTTTTCAAGAGTACAGGCCATTCATTCTGTAGGGTTACTAGGAACTATCTCTACCCACAAAACACTTGTGATGCCAAATGTGTGGGTTTTTTTCCTCATGCCAACCAGTTCTCCAACTCTCCAGACACCAGCCAGGTATCCAACAATTCAGTAGAATTCTGACACTATAGACCTGGAGTTAGCGTCAGATCCCACAGGTTAAGGGGCTCAGTCCAGCCCCCGACTTAAAATGCCAATCTCAAGTCCTGGGTCTCCCATACTTCTAACTGACTCACTAAAAATCAAGGGTTCCCACAACACCTTGGATTTGCTAACTTGCTAGAACAGCTTGCAGAACTCAGGAGTGCTCTTTCCTTACCAGTGTATTTTAAAGGATACAGCTCAGAAACAGCCAATGGGAGAGATGCAGGGGGCAAGGTCTAGGGCAAGAGACGCAGAGTTTCCATGCTTTCTCTGGGCGCGCTGCCCTCTAAGTACCTTAATGCGTTCACCAACTCAGAAACTCTCTAAACTCTGTCTTTTAGGAGTTTTATGGAGGTTCTGTTACTTACGCATGATTGACTGAATCATTGGCTATCAGTGATTAATTCAACCTTCAGCTCCCCTCCTCTACCTGGAGGTCAGGGGGTGGGGCTCCAAGTTCAAATCCTTTTTTTTTTTTTTTTTTTTGAGATGGGGTCTTTCTGTGTTGCCCAGGCTGGAGTGCAATGGTGCGATTTCAGCTTACTGCAACCTCCCCCTCCCAGGTTCAACCAGTTCTCCTGCCTCAGCCTCCCAAGTAGCTGGGATTACAGGCACGTGCTGCCACACCTGGCTAATTTTTATATTTTTAGTAAAAACAGGGTTTCATCATGTTGGCTAGGCTGGTCTTGAACTCCTGACCTCGTGATCCACCCGCCTCAGGCTCTCAAAGTGCTGGGATTACAGGTCTAAGCCACCGTGCCCAGTCCCAAGTTCAAATCTTCTTATCACATGGTTGGCCTTTCTGACGACCAGACCCCATTTTGAAGCTGTCTAAGGGTCTTTGGGCACCAGCCAACTCATTAGCATACAAAAAGATAACTCTTGTAGCTCCAGAGATTCCAAGGGTCCTTAGAAGTTCTTGTGTCAGGAACCTAGGAATAAGACAAAAATATTGGGGGGAGGAGCCAAGATGGCCAAATAGGAACAGCTCCTGTCTACAGCTCCCAGCGTGAGCGACACAGAAGACGCTGTGATTTCGGCATTTCCATCTGAGGTACCAGGTTCATCTCACTGGGGAGTGTCAGACAGTGGGCGCAGGACAGTGGGTGCAGCGCACCATGTGCGAGCCAAAGCAGGGTGAGGCATTGCCTCACTCTGGAAGCACAAGGGGTCAGGGAGTTCCCTTTCCTGGTCAAGGAAAGGGGTGACAGATGGCACCTGGAAAATCGGGCCACTCCCACTCGAATACTGCGCTTTTCCGACAGGCTTAGGAAACGGTGCACCAGGAGATTATATCCCACACCTGGATGTGAGGGTCCTACGCCCACAGAGTCTCGCTGATTGCTAGCACAGCAGTCTGAGATCAAACTGCAAGGCGGCAGCCAGGCTGGGGGAGGGGCGCCCGCCATTGCCCAGGCTCGCTTAGGTAAACAAAGCAGCCAGGAAGCTCGAACTGGGTGGAGCCCACCACAGCTCAAGGAGGCCTGCCTGCCTCTGTAGGCTCCACCTCTGGGGGCAGGGCACAGACAAACAAAAAGACAGCAGTAACCTTTGCAGACTTAAATGTCCCTGTCTGACAGCTTTGAGGAGAGCAGTGGTTCTCCCAGTACGCAGCTGGAGATCTGAGAATGGGCAGACTGCCTCCTCAAGTGGGTCCCTGACCCCTGACCCCCGAGCAGCCTAACTGGGAGGCACCCCCCAGTAGGGGCAGACTGACACCTCACACAGCCGGGTACTCCTCTGAGACAAAACTTCCAGAGGAACGATCAGACAGCAGCATTCGTGGATCACGAAAATCCGCGGTTCTGCAGACACCGCTGCTGATACCCAGGCAAACGGGGTCTGGAGTGGACCTCTAGCAAACTCCAACAGACCTGCAGCTGAGGTTCCTGTCTGTTAGAAGGAAAACTAACAAACAGAAAGGACATCCACACCAAAAACCCATCTGTACATCACCATCATCAAAGACCAAAAGTAGATAAAACCACAAAGATGGGGAAAAAAACAGAGCAGAAAAACTGGAAACTCTAAAAAGCAGAGCGCCTCTCCTCCTCCAAAGGAACGCAGTTCCTCACCAACAACGGAACAAAGCTGGATGGAGAATGACTTTGACAAGTTGAGAGAAGAAGGCTTCAGACGATCAAACTACTCCGAGCTACAGGAGGAAATTCAAACCAAAGGCAAAGAAGTTGAAAACTTTGAAAAAAATTTAGATGAATGTATAAC
This sequence comes from Homo sapiens, assembly GCF_000001405.40. Lineage (NCBI taxonomy): Eukaryota > Metazoa > Chordata > Mammalia > Primates > Hominidae > Homo > Homo sapiens. The sequence continues at coordinate 205,405,589 of NC_000001.11, read as the reverse complement.
TAGAATAACCAATACAGAGAAGTGCTTAAAGGAGCTGATGGAGCTGAAAGCCAAGGCTCAAGAACTACTTGAAGAATGCAGAAGCCTCAGGAGCCGATGCGATCAACTGGAAGAAAGTGTATCAGTGATGGAAGATGAATGAATGAAATGAAGCGAGAAGGGAAGTTTAGAGAAAAAAGAATAAAAAGAAACGAACAAAGCCTCCAAGAAATATGGGACTATGTGAAAAGACCAAATCTGTGTCTGATTGGTGTACCTGAAAGTGACGGGGAGAATGGAACCAAGTTGGAAAATACTCTGCAGGATATTATCCAGGAGAACTTCCCCAATCTAGCAAGGCAGGCCAACATTCAGATTCAGGAAATACAGAGAACGCCACAAAGATACTCCTCGAGAAGAGCAACTCCAAGACACATAATTGTCAGATTCGCCAAAGTTGAAATGAAGGAAAAAATGTTAAGGGCAGCCAGAGAGAAAAGTCGGGTTACCCACAAAGGGAAGCCCATCAGACTAACAGCGGATCTCTCAGCAGAAACTCTTACAAGCCAGAAGAGAGTGGGGGCCAATATTCAACATTCTTAAAGAAAAGAATTTTCAACCCAGAATTTCATATCCAGCCAAACTAAGTTTCATAAGTGAAGGAGAAATAAAATACTTTACCGACAAGCAAATGCTGAGAGATTTTGTCACCACCAGGCCTGCCCTAAAAGAGCTCCTGAAGGAAGCACTAAACATGGAAAGGCACAACCAGTACCAGCCACTGCAAAATCATGCCAAAATGTAAAGACCATCGAGACTAGGAAGAAACTGCATCAACTAACGAGCAAAATAACCAGCTAGCATCATAATGACAGGATCAAATTCACACATAACAATATTAACTTTAAATGTAAATGGACTAAATGCTCCAATTAAAAGACACAGACTAGCAAATTGGATAAAGAGTCAAGAGCCATCAGTGTGCTGTGTTCAGGAAACCCATCTCACGTGCAGAGACACACATAGGCTCAAAATAAAAGGATGGAGGAAGATCTACCAAGCAAATGGAAAACAAAAAAAGGCAGGGGTTGCAATCCTAGTATCTGAAAAACAGACTTTAAACCAACAAAGATCAAAAGAGACAAAGAAGGCCATTACATAATGGTAAAGGGATCAATTCAACAAGAAGAGCTAACTTTCCTAAATATATATGCACCCAATACAGGAGCACCCAGATTCATAAAGCAAGTCCTGAGTGACCTACAAAGAGACTTAGACTCCCACACAATAATAATGGGAGACTTTAACACCCCACTGTCAACATTAGACAGATCAACGAGACAGAAAGTTAACAAGGATACCCAGGAATTGAACTCAGCTCTGCACCAAGCAGACCTAATAGACATCTATAGAACTCTCCACCCCACATCAACAGAATATACATTTTTTTCAGCACCACACCACACCTATTTCAAAATTGACCACATAGCTGGAAGTAAAGCTCTCCTCAGCAAATGTAAAAGAACAGAAATTATAACAAACTGTCTCTCAGACCACAATGCAATCAAACTAGAACTCAGGATTAAGAAACCCACTCAAAACCACTCAACTACATGGAAACTGAACAACCTGCTCCTGAATGACTACTGGGTACATAACAAAATGAAGGCAGAAATAAAGATGTTCTTTGAAACCAACGAGAACAAAGACACAACATACCAGAATCTCTGGGACACATTCAAAGCAGTGTGTAGAGGGAAATTTATAGCACTAAATGCCCACAAGAGAAAGCAGGAAAGATCCAAAATTGACACCCTAACATCACAATTAAAAGAACTCAAAAAGCAAGAGCAAACACATTCAAAAGCTAGCAGAAGGCAAGAAATAACTAAAATCAGAGCAGAACTGAAGGAAATAGAGACAAAAAAAGCCTTTCAAAAAATTAATGAATCCAGGAGCTGGTTCTTTGAAAGGATCAACAAAATTGATAGACCGCTAGCAAGACTAATAAAGAAAAAAAGAGAGAAGAATCAAATAGATGCAATAAAAAATGATAAAGGGGATATCACCACCGATCCCACAGAAATACAAACTACCATCACAGAATACTACAAACACCTCTATGCAAATAAACTAGAAAATCTAGAAGAAATGGATAAATTCCTCGACACATACACTCTCCCAAGACTAAACCAGGAAGAAGTTGAATCTCTGAATGGACCAATAACAGGCTCTGAAATTGTGGCAATAATCAATAGCTTACCAACCAAAAAGAGTCCAGGACCAGATGGATTCACAGCCAAATTCTACCAGAGGTACAAGGAGGAACTGGTACCATTCCTTCTGAAACTATTCCAATCAATAGAAAAAGAGGGAATCCTCCCTAACTCATTTTATGAGGCCAGTACCATCCTGATACCAAAGCCGGGCAGAGACACAACCAAAAAAGAGAATTTTAGACCAATATCCTTGATGAACATTGATGCAAAAATCCTCAATAAAATATTGGCACACCGAATCCAGCAGCACATCAAAAAGCTTATCCACCATGATCAAGTGGGCTTCATCCCTGGGTTGCAAGGCTGGTTCAATATACGCAAATCAATAAATGTAATCCAGCATATAAACAGAACCAAAGACAAAAACCACATGATTATCTCAATAGATGCAGAAAAGGCCTTTGACAAAATTCAACAACCCTTCATGCTAAAAACTTTCAATAAATTAGGTATTGATGGGATGTATCTCAAAATAATAAGAGCTATCTATGACAAACCCACAGCCAATATCATACTGAATGGGCAAAAACTGGAAGCATTCCCTTTGAAAACTGGCACAAGACAGGGATGCCCTCTCTCACCACTCCTATTCAACATAGTGTTGGAAGTTCTGGCCAGGGCAATTAGGCAGGAGAAGGAAATAAAGGGTATTCAATTAGGAAAAGAGGAAGTCAAATTGTCCCTGTTTGCAGACGACATGGTTGTATATCTAGAACACCCCATTGTCTCAGCCCAAAAATCTCCTTAAGCTGATAAGCAACTTCAGCAAAGTCTCAGGACACTAAATCAATATACAAAAATCACAAGCATTCTTATACACCAATAACAGACAGAGAGCCAAATCATGAATGAACTCCCATTCACAATTGCTTCAAAGAGAATAAAATACCTAGGAATCCAACTTACAAGGGATGTGAAGGACCTCTTCAAGGAGAACTACAAATCACTGCTCAATGAAATAAAAGAGGATACAAACAAATGGAAGAACATTCCATGCTCATGGGTAGGAAGAATCAATATCGTGAAAATGGCCATACTGCTCAAGGTAATTTATAGATTCAATGCCATCCCCATCAAGCTACCAATGACTTTCTTCACAGAATTGGAAAAAACTGCTTTAAAGTTCATATGGAACCAAAAAAGAGCCTGCATCGCCAAGTCAATCCTAAGCCAAAAGAACAAAGCTGAAGGCATCACGCTACCCGACTTCAAACTATACTACAAGGCTACAGTAACCAAAACAGCATGATACTGGTACCAAAACAGAGATATAGATCAATGGAACAGAACAGAGCCCTCAGAAATAACGCCGCATATCTACAACTATCTGATCTTTGACAAACCTGAGAAAAACAAGCAATGGGGAAAGGATTCCCCATTTAATAAATGGTGCTGGGAAAACTGGCTAGCCATATGTAGAAAGCTGAAACTGGATCCCTTCCTTACACATTATACAAAAATTAATTCAAGATGGATTAAAGACTTAAACGTTAGACCTAAAACCATAAAAACCCTAGAAGAAAACCTAGGCATTACCATTCAGAACATAGGCATGGGCAAGGACTTCATGTCTAAAACACCAAAAGCAATGGCAACAAAAGCCAAAATTGACAAATGGGATCTAATTAAACTAAAGAGCTTCTGCACAGCAAAAGAAACTACCACAGCAAAAGAGTGAACAGGCAACCTACAAAATGGGAGAAAATTTTTGCAACCTACTCATCTGACAAAGGGCTAATATCCAGAATCTACAATGAACTCAAACAAATTTACAAGAAAAAAACAAACAACCCCATCAAAAAGTGGGCAAAGGATATGAACAGACACTTCTCAAAAGAAGACATTTATGCAGCCAAAAGACACATGAAAAAATGCTCATCATCACTGGCCATCAGAGAAATGCAAATCAAAACCACAATGAGATACCACCTCACAGCAGTTAGAATGGCAATCATTAAAAAGTCAGAAAACAACAGGTGCTGGAGAGGATGTGGAGAAATAGGAACACTTTTACACTCTTGGTAGGACTGTAAACTAGTTCAACCATTGTGGAAGTCAGTGTGGCGATTCCTCGGGGATCTAGGACTAGAAATACCATTTGACCCAGCCATCCCATTACTGGGTATATACCCAAAGGACTATAAATCATGCTGCTATAAAGACACATGCACACGTATGTTTATTGCGGCACTATTCACAATAGCAAAGACTTGGAACCAACCCAAATGTCCAACAATGATAGACTGGATTAAGAAAATGTGGCACATATACACCATGGAATACTATGCAGCCATAAAAAATGATGAGTTCATGTCCTTTGTAGGGACATGGGTGAAATTGGAAATCATCATTCTCAGTAAACTATCGCAAGGACAAAAAACCAAACACCACATGTTCTCACTCATAGATGGGAATTGAACAATGAGAACACATGGACACAGGAAGGGGAACATCACACTCTGGTGACTGTTGTGGGGTGGGGGGGGGGAGGGATAGCATTAGGAGATATACCTAATGCTAAATGACAAGTTAATGGGTGTAGCACACCAGCATGGCACATGTATACATATGTAACTAACCTGCACATTGTGCACATGTACCCTAGAACTTAAAGTATAATAATAATTTAAAAAAGGAAAAAAAAAGACAAAAATACTATAATAAAAGATGCTTCTATCACACCTATTACTCAGGAAATTACAAGGGCTTCAGGAGCTCTGTGCCAGGAGGGGGAACAGAAGACCAAGTGTATATTTCTTATTGTATCACATCACAAGGGTGAACCTCAAATTGGATTTGTCTGATTTTTCCTTTTGATTAGTATTAGAGGCCATGCGTTCTCGGCAGGAATTCTTTAGAAATGGCGCTGTGCTCTTCTCATTACATCGCCGTGGGACAAACAATGTCACTGTGTCCCACTGCTAGTAATGTTAACCTTAATTACCTGGAAAAGTTGGTGTTTGTCAGGCTTCTTGGCCAGGCATAGTGGCTCACGCCTGTAATCCCAACACTTTGGGAGGCCAAGGCAGGTGGATTGCTTGAGCTCAGGAGTTCAATAGTGGGCAACATAGTGAGACCTCTTCTCTACAAAAAAACATAAAAATTAGCTGGGCATGGTGGCACGTGCCCGTAGTCCCAGCTACCTGGGAGACTGAAGTGGGAGGATGGTTTGAGCCTGGGAGATTGAGGCTGCAGTGAGATTGCACCTTTGCACTCCAGTCTGGGTTGACAAAGCGACCCTGTGTCAAAACAAAATAAAACAAAAACCCCAAAACATTATTTTTGCCTTTGTAATTGAACAGCATTCTGTGGGGAGATATTCTGAAATGACACCAACATATTGTTCCTCACAGACCCTCACTCGTTAGCCTTAGCATCTGTAGAGCACTCTGCCTGAATCAGCTTCCACTGTGGTGATGGCCTATTGAGATTTTCTATTTCTATCAGTCCTTCTTCATTTATTAGTTGGCATTCTACTGTAAGAAGCATTTTCCTTTCTCCCTATTCATTCAATAACTCACTCACTCACTCATTCATTCATGTAAGTATGAATTCATTGATTTCTTTTCATCCAATGGGTTGTATCCACTGACATCACTATTTTCATACTCAAATCCTCCCAGATTTGGCTAGTAGGAGCCCCTTCAAGATAGATACTGTGTCCTTTGACATGTCCTCATCATTATTTGAGCACTTCCTTGGTTTCTGGCACAAAAGATGTTTCAGACTCATCTTATACTTTTCCTGCCCCAGGAGCCTTGATTCCTTTCACAAGATGTTTGGTGTTTCACAAGGTGTTTGGAAACCAAGATCTAGGCCTTCAGTGAGCACCTTTCTACTGGGTCTCATTGCTTCTAGGCCCTTTTCAGTGGACAGAGCTAGAAAATAAATGTATGTATCTGTATACGTATACACACATACATCTCTATTTTTATGTAAATTAAAAACTGTGAGTTTCTATTTATCTCCAATTGCAATCTAACAACCCAATGTTCTTTCTAATCATTCACTTTTATAAAATCACTTATCTGACAGTGATTCCATTATCCTCTGATTATAGATTCCATTAGCCTCACTGTGTGTACATTTTCACTTAGCTTTCTATTTTTTTTTTTTTTAGATGGAGTCTCGCTCTGTTGCCCAGGCTGGAGTGCAGTGGTGTGATCTCAGCTCACTGCAATCTCCACCTCCTGGATTCGAGTAATTCTCCTGCCTCAACCTCCCGAGTAGCTGGAACTACAGGCTTGCACCACCACACTCGGCTAATTTTTGTATTTTTAGTAGAGATGGGGTTTCACCATGTTGGCCAGGCTGGTCTTGAACTCCTGACCTCAGGTGATCCACCCGCCTTGGCCTCCCAAAGTGCTGGGATTACAAGCGTGAGTCACCACACTCAGCCTCAATTTTCTAATTTTCTCAGTGTAACTAATCACCCAGTCACAATAACCACTTTCTTCTCTGTATCACCCGTAACTATGTCCGTGACCACGGAACATACCAACACCCCCTTGCAGCCCCTACTACAAGAGAGCCCTCTTCCTTCCCCTCACTGTCCCTCTTCCTTGCCCCAGGGCACACTAATGTGTCCATGCTGGTCCCCCTACCCCTCCCACTGCTCTAATTCTTCTACTACCAGGCAGGCAGAAACCCTCCACAACCTCACCACTCCATTTCTTGGCCTCCAGGCATGCCAACACTTCTGTGTCCATGTCCCTTCTGCCTCTTTTCTTAGTGTGTAGAGCATACTGACACCCCAGGGGACGATAAGGAAGGGAAGGAAAACTTCACGTCTCATTTTTGCTTCCAAATTTTAAGTGTATTTCAATGTCTTTCTGCCAAAACTTTAATGGGATTTTAACTCTCTGTGCCTCAATTTCTATTGTTGCTTATGAGATACCTTGTAAGCCTACAATAGCATGTGCAGGGCCCACCCCAAAGGCTGCCACCAGCAGGCCTAGTGTATCATGGGAATATATATTAAAGGACTACCATTAAGTAGTGTGTGATTCAAGTTGTATATACAGGTTTTAGAAGACCTGATGTTAGACATCTCTCTGATAGTTTCTTAATTAATTGAAAAACTTCCTTATTCCCAGTAGTAGTTGTATATTCAAGTTGGGTCAAAGTGAAGAGAAAATTACATAGTGTCTGAACTACTTAATAAGCCCTTTCTTCTTACCTTTGACGTGTGCTAAGGGAGCTGCTAAATGCCATCTTTACAAGGAATGTAATTTAACATTCTTCCTGTAAAAATATTGACCTCCTGGTAGATATGATCAATATATCTTGATCTTATTGATGAAATGTTGATTTCTTTTCTGTGTAATAGAACCCAGTTTTTGAAATTCAAGAGCAGCAGGAGGAAATAGTGGAACCAAACACTGATTATAATGATTCCAAGATGATAATAAGGGTAAACTTACTTATTTTCATAAAACTGAGTTATGAGCAGTGGTGTTCTCCTGTAGAAAAAAATATGGATTTGTTTAGAAAACTCAGCTTTCTTTTCTTTTTCATCTAAGAATACACCAATATTGGCTTTAGCTAAATTATACTTTGCTTTGTGAGTAGGGATCTATGTCTTCATTTTAGGAAGAGGAGTTTCCTGTTGTACCTCCCATATGAGCACCCTTGAGTTATTTTTAATCTCTTGAGACTTGTCAGGGCTTCGTAAGCACTAGGCATTATTCATTACAATTCATGAGTCCAGGAATGATTTATTATAGATAATTTTTCTTCTTGAGACAGGGTCTCACTCTATCTCCCAGATTGAAGTGCAGTGGTGTGATCATAGCTCTCCATAGCCTCGACCTCCTGGGCTCAGACTTCTGAGCAGCTAAGACTACAGGTGTGTGCCACCACACCCTGCTAATTTTTACATTTTTTGTGGAGATGAGGTCTTGCTGTGTTGCCCAGCCTTCTTGGAGGAGACTATGTGATTTATCTCACAGATGAGGACACAGGCAGAAAGGGAATATGACTTGCCCAAGACCACATAGAGGATTAGAGGAAAATTGGAAATAGAAATCTAGTGGCCTAATTTCCATTCTGTTGCCCTCTCCATTATATCAAAAGGCCACAGGGGAGGAAAAAAAGACCAGGCACCTGAGTGATGAAATAGCTCCCCTCAGTGTCCTTTCCATGGTATTACAGAAGGACTCGGGACATCTGTTTTCCCGCGGAAGCAAAGGCTCGTCTTTCTGATGATTGCTACGTAGTGAGAGTCCATGGGAGGCACTTCTTGGTGAACCTTCCAATCACAAACTAAAACCATGGCACAGAAATCAGCACAGTTAGAAATGGGCTGACATATGCAGATTGGTAGCTGGAATTTGCCCAAGTGGGGAGGAAAAAACTGTGTCTGAAAATCTTTTAAAATAAAATACATTATGCATATGAAAAGGAATAAAGAATTACGTAATGAGAAGTTGGATTCCCACCCAAAAGATTGAAAAATAAATCATTGCTGAATCAGCTGAAGCCCCCAGTGTATCCCTCTTGGGACATCTTCCTTTTCCCCCATGGCAACCACTAACCTGAATTTTCTACTTATCCTTCTTTCCCTTTTCTTTATAGCATCCACAAACTTTAGTTCAGTTTTTCATGATTTTGTATTTCATTTAAATGATATTATACTGCAGGTTTTCTTCTGCAGCTTCCCTTACCATGCAGCATCATGCTGTGAGCTTACATGGTCATTATTGGTAGCTTTAGTTCATTTATTTTCACTGCTATATAGAATTATTGGAGAAGTATTTTTATTCATTCCCTATTTGTTGGACATTTGGATCATTTTCAAATTTTTCTAACACAAACAATGCTGTTACAAACTTTGTGGTACAGGACCCAGTGTTTATATGTGTAAGAATTTTTTTTTCTGATTGCATGAATGTACCTACAAGTAGGACTGCTGAATGGAAGGGGTCTACACATGTTCAACTTAAGAGATTATATTAAATTGCTCTACAACATGGTTGCACCATTTTTTGCTTCCCCCAGTAATATATTAAGAACTCCAGGGGCTGGGCATGGTAGCTAATGCCTATTATCCCAGCACTTTGAGAGTCCAAGGTGGAAGGAGTTCAAATAAGGAGTTCAAGACCAGCCTGGGTAACATAGCAAGACCCTGTCTCTAAAAATAAAATTTAAGAAAACAATCAGCTGAGCATAGTGGTGCCCAGCTGCAATCCTTGCTTATCAGGAGACTGAGGCAGGAGGATGGCTTGAGCCTGGGAGTTCAAGGCTACAATGAGCTTTGATCCTGCCACTGCATTCTAGCCTGGGCGACAGAGCAAGATCCTGTCTTAAAAAAAAAACAAATGCTCCATTGTTCTAAATCTTCTTCAGAATTTAGCGTTGCTAGATTTATTTTTGTCAGTGTGGTGGGTGTAAGATGGTATTTTATTATTGCAATTTTTATGTATTTTATTATTAATAAGTTTGGGCATCTTTTCACATTTATTGGTCATTTGTGTTTTCTCATCTGTGAAATGCCTATTCATGTCTTTTGCCCATTTTTTATTAGGTTGTTTACCTTTTTCTTTTTAATTTATAGAAGCTCGTTATATATTGTGGTTACCAATCTTTTGCTAGCTATATGTGTAGCACGTATCTTCCAGTAGTTTTGGTTTGTCTTTTTACTCTCTTCTTGGTGCCTTTTAAAAATTAGATGTGCTAATATTTGTAGTTTTTATTTTGAAGCAATTTCTTTCTCTTTTTTTTCTTTTTTTTTTTTTTGAGACAGAATTTCGCTCTTGTTGCCCAGGCTACATTGCAATGGCATGATCTTGGCTCACCGCAACATCCATCTCCCAGGTTCAAGCAATTCTCCTGGCTCAGCCTCCTGAGTAGCTGGGATTACAGGCATGCACCACCAAACCTGGCTAATTTTGTATTTTTAGTAGAGACAGGGTTTCTCCATGTTGGTCAGGCTGGTCTCAAACTCCCAACCTCAGATGATCCGCCCACCTCAGCCTCCCAAAGTGCTGGGATTACAGGCATGAGCCACCATGGCCAGCCTATTTTGAAATAATTTCAAAATTACAGAAAGTTTCCAACAAAGAATTCTTACGTGGTCATGTTGAATCTAACCATACCCAAATTTACAGGTGGTTAAGATTTTTCCATCGGTGTTTTACAATTTTATCTATCTTTTTTCCTTGCCCTATTTCAGATCCAACTGCAGACATCATGTTTTTTTGACCTCTGCCCAAAATTTCAGTATGTATTTCCTTAGAATAAAGACATAATATCACTTATATAATCACAGTACAATGACAAGAATCAAGATTTTTAAAAACTGAGATGACATTTACACAATATAAAATTAACTTTTTTTTTTTTTTGAGAAGGAGTCTCACTGTGTCACCCAGGCTGTAGTGCAGTAGGGCGATCTCGGCTCACTGCAACCTCTGCCTCCCTGGTTCAAGCGATTCTCCTGTCTCAGCCTCCAGAGTAGTTGGGATTACAGGTGCACGTCACCACACCCGGCTAATTTTTGTATTTTTAGTAGAGACAGGGTTTCACCACGTTGGTCAGGTTGGTCTCAAACTCCTGACCTCGTGATCTGCCTGTCTCGGCCTCCCAAGGTGCTGAGATTACAGGCATGAGCGAGACTGGGTCTCAAAATAAAATAAATAAATCAATAGGCCAGACTTGGTGGCTCATGCCTGTAATCCCAGCACTTTGGGAGGCCAAGGCGGGTGGATCACCTGAGGTCAGAAGTTCGAGTCCAGCCCAGCCAACATGGCAAAACTTCATCTCTACTAAAAATACAAAAATTAGCTGGGTTTGGTGGTGGGCACCTGTAATCCCAGCTACTTGGGAGGCTGAGGCATGAGAATTGCTTGAACTCGGGAGGTGGAGGTTGTGGTGAGCCGAGATTGTGCCATTGCACTCCAGCCTGGGCAACAAGAGGGAAACTCCATCTCAAAAAATTAATTAATTAATTAATTAATTAATTAAATAAACAAATAATACAGTTCACAATCCAGTGGCATCTAGTACATTCAAAATGCTGTGAAACCACCACCTCTATTTTAGTTCCAAAACATTTTTGTCACCCTAAAATAAAACCAATACCCATTAAGCGGTTACCCGCCAGTCGCTCTACCCCCCACCCCACCCCACCCCACCCCTGCAGCAGCTATTAATCTGCTGTTTTAATGGATTTACTTCTTCTGGAGATTTCACATAAATGGAATCATTCAATGTGTGATGTTTTGTGTTTCACTTCTTTCGCTTCATATAAGGTTTTTGAGGTTCATCTATGTTGTCCATGTATTTGCGTCAGCACTTCATTCCTTTTTATGGCTGAATTATATTCCATTATATGTATATACCACAATTTGTTTATTCATTCATCCATTGATGGACATTTGGGTTGTTTCTACCTTTTGGCTGTTGTGAACAGTGCCACTATGAACATTCATGTTCAAGTATTTGAGTACCTGATTTCCATTTTTTTTTTTTTTTTGGCTAGGTACCTAGGAGTGGAATTGCTGGGTCATATAATAATTCTATATCTGACTTTCGGAGAAAGTACCAAACTGTGTTCCGCAGTGGCTGGGCCATTTTACGTTACCACTAACAATGTATGAGGTTTGCAGTTTCTACACATCCTTGCTAACACTTGCTATTTTCCTTTTTTTTTTTTTAAGACAGAGTCTCTCTCTGTCACCCAGTCTGGAGTGCAGTGGCACGATCTCGGCTCACTGCAACCTCTGCCTCTTGGGTTCAAGGGATTCTCCTGCCTCAGCCCTGCAAGCAGCTGGGATTACAGGTGCCTGCCACCATGCCTGGCTAATTTTTGTATTTTTAGTACAGATGGTGTTTCACCATGTTGGCCAGGCTGGTCTCGAACTCCTAACCTGAAGTGATCCATCCACCTCGGCCTCCCAAAGTGCTGGGATTACAGGTGTGAGCCACCGTGCCCGGTCTTCCTTTTTTTTTTTAATAGCCATTCTACTGGGTATAAAGTGGTATCTCATTGTAGTTTTTATTTGCATTTCCCTAATGACTAATGATGTCATTATCTTATGACATCATTATATCAAGATAGGTCATTATCTTATTATAAGGAATCTTATGTGCTTATTGGCCACTTCTATATCTTCTTTGAAGAAATGTCTGTTTAAGTCCTTTGCCCATCTTTAGACTGGGTTTTCTTTTTCTTTTTGAGTTGTAAGAATTCTTTATATATTCTAGATAATAGACCCCAGATATATGATGTGCAAGTTTTTTTTCCAGTCTATACATTGTCTTTTTAACTATGTTGCCCAGGGTAGTTTCAAACTCCTGGGCTCAAGCAGTCCACCTGCCTCAGCCTCCTGAATAGCTGGGACTATTAGCATGTACCACCATGCCCGGCTACTTTCTTGATAATGTCCTTTATTACACAAAAGTTTTCAGAAGTTTGATTATGATGTGTCTTGGCATGGATTTCTTTAGGTTTATCTGATTTGGGTTCATGCAGCTTCTTGATCTGTAGATTTATGTCTTTTGCCAAATTTGGGACATTTTCAGCCATTATTTCTTCAAAAAATTTTTTAGCCCCACCTCATTCTTCTCTCCTTTAGGGACTCTGATGACACAAATGTTAGGTCTTTCATTACAGTCTCATGAGACCCTGAGACACTGTTTATTTTTTTCTATTTTCTCTCTGTCATTCAGCTTGGGTGATTTATATTGTTCTATCTTCAAATTCATTGATTCTTTTCTCTGTCTTCTCTATTCTGCCATTGAGTCCATATTTTGGTTGTATTTTTTTCAGTTCTAATTTGTTTTTTTTTAAGGCGGGATTTCACTCTGTCACCCAGGCTGGAGTACAGTGGCACAATCATGGTTCACTGTAACCTCAAACTCCTGGGCTCAAACGATCCTCCTGCCTCAGCCTCCCGAGTAGCTGGGACTACAGGCACACACCATCATGCCTGGCTAATTTTTTTATATTTTATTTTTAGAGATGGGATCTTGCTTTGCTGCGCAGGCTGTCAGTTCTAAAATTTACACTTGGTTCTTCTTTATATATTCTACTTCTCTGCAAAGAGTTTATATTTTTTCATTTGTTTCAAACATGTTCATATTGTTCATTGAAACATTTTATGACAGCTGCTTTAAAATCTTGGTAACATAATTCCAACATTTGTATCATCTTGATGTCAGTGTCTATTATGATCTCCCCTCAGGAGACCCTGGATGGTTTTTGTTTTTTGTTTTTCTTGAGACAGAGTCTCTCTCTGTCGCCCAGGCTGGAATGCAGTGGTGTGATCTTGGCTCATTTAAACCTCCGCCTCCCGGGTTCAAGCAATCCTCCTGCCCCAGCCTCCTGAGTAGCTGGGATTACAGGTGCCTGCCACTATGCCCGGCTTTTTTTTTTTTTTTTTTCGGTAGAGACGAGGTTTCACCACGTTGGCCAGGTTGGTCTCGAACTCCTAACCTCAAGTGATCCACCTGCCTTGGCCTCCCAAAGTGCTGGGATTACAGGCATGAGCCACCACACCCGGCCTTCTGGGTGGCTTTTAAATCTTGTTTTAGCAGACCTTTTCTGACTCTATGCTGGTGGGAAAAGAGGGGCACTGCCTCTTTGCTGCCAGGTGGAGGTAAAAGTCCAGGCTCCCACTGGGGACACCTTGGGGTGTGCGTGGAGGCGGGGGATGCCTCCTTACTCCTGGGCTGCTGGGAGGGCTCCCATGTGCGCTCCATTGACACCACCCAGGCGCGGAGCAGGAGGGTTTGCCACATGGAGGTGAAAGTCCAGGCTTCTCATGCATCTTGGCTAGTAGGGGCGGAGATGGGCTGTTTGGCTGCCACAGGGCAGTTAACATCAAAAAATTTTTTGTTTTACTAGGCTGCCCTTTTCCTTGTCTTTTGGCTTTTCCGGGAGCTTTTTTTCACCTGCATCCCTTGGTGTTTCCAGGTTGTCAGCTCCTCCAGCTCCCAGTCCAGGACATATAAATTAAAAAAAAAACAAACCCTGGGAACTCACCACCTTGTCTTCCCTAAGTCTCAAGCTCCCTGGCCTGTGGACCTTCTCTCTATATCTTCCAGAGTCTTCATAGGCTTGTTTTAGGTATAATGTCCAGGGGGATTGGCTGTACTTAGCAGAATAAATTGAGAGAAGTACATCTACCCCAATTTGTTCCCAATACTGTTTTCCAATGGTCCATTTTTTTTTCTTCTGAGCTGCAATGTTAGTTCTTGTCATATATCAAGTTTCCATATATACATCGGTATTTTTAATGGATTATTTATTTACTTTAAAATTTTAGATTCAGGGGGTACTTGCGCAGGTTTGTTACACAGGTATTACACAGGTATATTGTGCGGTGCTGAGAATTGGGCTTCTAATGATCGCATCGCCCAGGTAGTAAACATAAACATGTGTTTTCAGCCCTTGCCTTCCTCGCTGCCCCTTTTGGAATCCCCTGCTTATTGTTCCCATCTTTGTGTTCCTGTGTATTTAAATGGGAATTTTAATTTCTTTACATTTATTGAAATTTCCTTTAATGTCCTTCAGTAAGATTGCATAATTTTCTTAGTAAAGGATATGCTCATCTTTTGTTAGCTTTATTAGTAGGTAGGCTTTTAATTTTTGCTCCATTGGGAATAGGACCTCTTTTAAAGCATATTTTAAATTGTTACTGGTGTATAGAAATGAAGTTGACTTCTGTATATTGATTTTACAACAATAAACTCTTTGCAATTGTAATACTTTTTCTGCAGATTATTTTGTAGCCTGGTTTGTATAGCTTTAATTTCTTTTTGTTTTACTGTGCTGGCTAAGACTTTTTATTATACTAGTGAAGTAGAGCGATGACAGTGGACATTCTTTCCTTGGTCCTGATTTTAAAGGAAATACTTCTAATATTTTACCTTTGAGTATGACTTATGGTGTAGGTTTTTGAACATGTCTTTTATCAAGTTAAGGAAGTTCCTATTCCTGGTTTACTAAAAGTTTGTTGTTTTTTTTTTTTTTAGAGAGAGAGTGTAGCTCTGTCGCCCAGGCTGGAGTGCAGTGGCGTAATCTCGGCTCACTGCAACCTCCACCTCCCAGGTTCAAGCGATTCTCCTGCCCCAGCCTCCCAAGTAGCTGAGATTACAGATGCACACCACCATGCCCGGCTAATTTTTGTATTTTTAGTAGAGGTGGAGTTTCACCATGTTGGCCAGGCTGGTCTCGAACTCCTGGCCTCAAGTGATCCACCTGACTCGTCCTCCCAAAGTGCTGCAATTACAGGCGTGAGCCACCTCCCCTGGTTGCTAGAAGATTTTTTAAAAACCAGGAATGGAGATGATCATAAGGTTTTTAACCTTGCTTTTGTTAATGTGGTGCAGATAATTTTTAAAGCCTTTTAGTTAATTCAAAATCATTACTTGGGTTAAGAGAACACAACGTTTTAAATAAAAGCTTTATCATATCAGGATTCAGGCAAAAACAATGAAGTAAAAGTCTGCTAAGATTATAGATCTTTTACCAACTTAATAATTTTTAGTCAATAAAGGGATTTGGAGTTAACTCAGTTTTAAAGGTCTGTAAATCAAAAGGAAGTTTTTCTTTTTTCTGCCTGTAATCAGGTCATAACTTCCAGTTTGCTATGTCATTTGTAAAAGTGTCCAATTCTACATATAGGCCTTTAAGAAGTAATTGCATTATTGAATTAGAGCAATTGGAGAATGTATTATGTTTCAGTTTGGAGAGAAT
Organism: Homo sapiens; assembly: GCF_000001405.40. NCBI lineage: Eukaryota > Metazoa > Chordata > Mammalia > Primates > Hominidae > Homo > Homo sapiens. Next base: position 205,389,629 of record NC_000001.11, on the reverse strand, counting down.
GCCATCCCTAAGCTTCAGGGACATCCCTGCCTTCTGACTTCTCCAAGTCCAGCGGTAAGGAGTCTTGGGAGAATAAGAGAAAGAAAGGGTAGGAAACTGGGCTCTCAGCACCCTTTTCTTGACTACCCTTAATTGCAGGTGTCAGCCTGTGAAATTTTGGCCAACTTCAAGCCTACACGGTAAATATATGTCTTGTGGAAATGCAAACAAACTTGTATTTCTTTATGGACAGTTAGTGATGGCTCTAGTCAAGGTAGATTATTTTTAAAAAACCAAATGTAGGCTGGGCACAGTGGCTCACGCCTGTAATCCCAGCACTTTGGGAGGCTGAGGTGGGTGGATCACTTAAGGTCAGGAGTTCAAGACCAGCCTGGCCAACATAGTGACTCCCCATCTCTACTAAAAATACAAAAATTAGCCAGGCATGGTGGCATGCACCTGTAGTCTCAGCTACTCGGGAGGCTGAGGCAGGAGAATTGCTTGAACCCGGGAAGCGGAGGTTGCAGTGAGCCGAGATTGTGGCACTGCACTCCAGCCTGGGCGACAGAGCAAGACTCTATCTCAAAAAAAAAAAAAAAAAAAAAAAAAAAAAGAAAGCAAATGTACTTTTTGGTGATTTTAATGAGAATACAAAATGATTATTGTTCTTTCTGGCTCTGGATGTTAGCCCAGTGTTTTGTAGTTAACTGTAATGTGATACAGTATGACATAAAATGTCATATGCAATATTATTTCAGACTGACTGTGATATACCTAAGTAGGCCAGAATTAGCACAAAATAGTCCACCTGGAAAAAAACACCCTTATGAAAATGTCAATTCATCCGAGAAATTAAGAATGGAACTATTGACTAAAAATGTTACTTCCGTAGGAAATTAATGATTTTGATAATTTATTAATTAATGAAAAGTTTTTAAAAACATGTTTTGACATATTTTCAATGATGAGTTCTTCTATAATAATAGAAATGTATTTTTACAGCATTGGAGCCAGAATATCTGGGTTTAAATTATAGCTATGCCTTTTATGAATTGTGTTGTCTAGGGCAAATAACTCAGCTCCCTAAGCCTCTACTTCCTCCTCTGTAAAACGGTGACTGTAATAATTACCTCCTAGAGTTGTTAGAAAGATTAAGTGAATTGGCCAGGCATGGTGGCTCACACTTGTAATCCCTGCACTTTGGGAGGCCGAGGCAGTTGGATCACAAGGTCAGGAGATCAAGGCCATCCTGGTGAAACCCCGTCTCTACTAAAAATACAAAAGAATTATCTGGGTGTTGTGGCTCGCGCCTGTAATCCCAGCTACTCAGGAGGCTGAGGCAGGAGAATCACTTGAACCTGGGAGGCGGCGATTGCAGTGAGCCGAGATCACGCCACTGCACGCCATCCTGGCAACAGAGCAAGACTCTGTCACAAAAAAAAAAAAAAGAAAGAAAGATTAAGTGAATTGAAGTATGTTAAATGCCCAAGATAATAGATGTTCAGAACATGGTATTTCTAATTCCCTCCACTATCATGCTGCAGTACCATGTGGTGATTATGGGCAGGGACTGTGGGGCTCTTAGCTCCATTGCCTCACCAGCTGTGTAAGCATGGGCAAGCTACTTAAACGCTCCATGCCTCAGGGTTCTCATCTGTAAAATGGGCACAATAAAAGCACCTTTCACATAGGGTGGTTTTGAGAATGAAATTAGTTTACTGATGTAAAATGCTTAGAATGGTGCCTGGTGCACAGGGAATGCCATATACGTGTTAGCTAGTGTTGTAGTGAGACAGTCACAGTTTGTTGTATTGGCATATCTCTGACTTACTACTTTTATAACTAACTACAGCTGTGGCCAGCAATATGCTTCAGGCCTTGGGAGTGTGGTGGAATTTTCGGACTTGAATGCCGAGGTATAGCAAAGAGGGTGGAAAAGCAGAGGGGGCCACATATTCCCCAGCTCTGGGCTCCAAATGCTTTGCTAAAACAGCCATCTTTGCAGATTCTAGCTCTGGGCCTAAGGAGAAGAGAGCAAAGATATTATGTGTCTCCTGGGTGCCATTTACCCTCACTGAGCCACTGCTTTAATAAACACCAATATTTTTTAGCTCCACTGTAAATGTTGTTTATAGTGAAAATCATATTATAACAGCATTAATGGAATTTTTTAAAAGATGAAATATAAATCAACTGCAAACACACCACTTGATGCAAAAACTGATTTTATTTTTTCAATTTACCTCTAGTTTTTGTTTACATGCATATCTAGTATATGTTCACACAGTAGACATCACTGTTTATGTACAATTTATACCGTTTATTAACACTAATCAATAATGCTTTTCCCTGTTATATGGCCTTTATAATAATAATTATTATTGATAGCTGCACAGTCAGGTAGATAGGCCATAATTACTCCATTTTTGAAAATGACAATGTCCACCTTCTACATACTGCAGGAGAACTCTACATATGAATGATAGCAAAGAAAACAAATTGTAAAAGAAAAGGAAATAAAAGGCCTAAATCTCCTTATGGCACAAGGGGAGTATTTGATTGCCTAGGAGCTGTGAAATTCTATCATTTGATTTTGCAATGAACTTCTGCCCCAAATGCTTTATTTCACGTATCTATTTTTAAATTTAAGCGAATTAAAAAGAAGTTGCATGTGATGGATATGTAGAGGTTCATGATACTGTTGTCTATTTTTGTATATGCTTAAAATTTTCCATAAGTAAAAAAAGAATTTGCTTATAAATGATTTTTCCAATACCCTTGGAAATAGCTTGAAATATCTCTTGGTGAGCATGCCAACACTAACCCACATAGCACCTTTGTGGGAAATCTCTTCCTCAAGAGCCTTTGCTTCCCTGTTCCTGGAAGGGTATGTGGTAAGGGTATGTAAATCTACAGTGTCTACACGGGGAAAGGTGCTGTTTGCATGTGGCACTCTTGCATGGTGCACAACTTCCCACATATGCAAAGGCCTTGCTTGGGTATCGCTAAACCACTGTTGAGAACATGTTTAAGAAGGGGGGCACAGGGGCCGGGCGCGGTGGCTCAGGCCTGTAATCCCAGCACTTTGGGAGGCTGAGGCGGGCGGATCACAAGGTCAGGAGATCGAGACCATCCTGGCTAACACAGTGAAACCCCACCTCTACTAAAAAATATAAAAAATTAGCCAGGCATCGTGGCAGGTGCCTGTAGTCCCAGCTACTCGAGAGGCTGAGGCAGGAGAATGGCGTGAACCTGGGAGGCGCAGCTTGCAGTAAGCCGAGATCGCGCCACTGCACTCCAGCCTGGGTGACAGAACGAGACTCCATCTCAAAAAAAAAAAAGAAGGGGGCACAGGGAGTACAGGGGAAGGGGAGGAGGCTGTAGCTGTTCCATCATTGGTGACCTGTACTGGGTAGATGGTGACTAGCAGTGCGTGATGCTACAGCAAGCCATGCCCTCCCCACCCCACCCTGCGCTGGGACCCTTGGGCCTGCCATAAGTCATAGTCCACACTCACTGGAGGGGTCCACTCTATTGTTGTGTCCTGACCACATCCTTGCTAAGACCCAGGCTCTTCTTTCTCCTAGTAGCTCCGTGATGAACACAAATGCCCTTCTCCTGTCGGACCCTCCAGACACTCCAGTCCAGTCTACCTTGGGATTGCGGTCATTACTCTCCTCTTGACTTTCCTTGTGCTTCTTGTTCTGTCCTGGTCTCTGTCAGTCCTTTCCCTGTCTGACGCGAGTCCCAGCTCCTTATACCACTCCTGGGAATTCTCCAGTTCCTGACTCACTGTCTGCAGCCTGCAGGCTCTGACAGCACCGCAGGTGTCAGAAGGCGCCTCTTATGTTCAAGGGTCCTGGGCTTCCAGCATGGGAGTAGACGGCAAGTTACCAGTGGCCCCAAATGTTAGATACTGTGGCTTGATTACAGAGAAATAGGAGACAGCTCCATGAGATCCAACAGATGGTCTGATTAGGGAAGAAGGAAGCCAGTGCAGAACACTTACAAAATAACCATGCTTGATAGTGAGCTGTTTTGGACAGGGACGGTTTGGCAGGCCCTTCTGAAATCTTCACAGCCGGCGTCAGGCCTGGCACTCAGCAGCACGCAACAAATAATTGTTAAATGAATAAATAAAACATAAGGGCTGGACACAGTGGCTCACACCTGTAATCCCAGCACTTTGGGAGGCTGAGGCGGGTGGATTGCTTGAGGCCAGGTGTTTGAGACCAGCCTAGCCAACATGACAAAACCCCGTCTCTGCTAAAAATATTATACAAAAATTAGCCAGGCGCGGCGAAGAGTGCCTGTAATCTCAGCTACTTAGAAGGCTGAGGCAGGAGAATTACTTGAACCCAGGAGGCAGAGGTTACAGTTAGCCAAGATCGTGCCACTACACTCCAGCCTGGGTGACTCTGTCTCCAAAAACAAACAAACAAAACACTACAGTACAAAATGTGTATATTAGGGCTGAAGAAATATAGCATAGAAGAGTGATCTGAGTGGATGAGAGTAATCAAGATTTCCTATGGGGGAAATTACTTTTAGAAACTGAAGGGTAGAGAGAAGTCTAGTGTAGTAGTCCAAGCACGTAGTTCTCCACTGATAATACTGTGTAGCCTCTAGCAAGTTACTTAACCTTTCTGTGTCTCAGACTCATTTCCAGAACAGAATAGTGCTTACTAGATAGGGGTGGAGTGCTCCCTCGCAGGTGGTGCTCACTGGAAGGCCTCAGTGAGTTAATGGGTAAATGGGGCTTAGCGCTTGATCAATAGAATTAGCAACATCATCTGACATCCCATCTTCACATTCCTGGGAGTCCCCTACAATTGCTCCTACTTCTCTTACAAAGCAACATTTCGTTCTCCTAAATTATTTTCTAGTCCTTGTTCATAGTCAACTTGCTTTGTTAAAATTACTTTATTCTTTGTAGAAAATGATGCATGCTCATAAAAAAGAGCTCCAAGCAATAAAGTACAAATAAAGAAGCAAAATAGAGCTGATATTTAAGAACAGAGTGCTGTTCTCATCACGTGGCCCTAGTCCCTTGTATGTGTATTGTTCTCATGCGAGTCACTGAAGTAAAATATTACTCCATGGAACTTAGATGTTTTTGCTAATTCTTGAATAAAGACAAACAAGTTTGTATTTTAAAGTACCAAACTACCTAATGTGCCAAGAACTTTTGGCATATTATGTGACTTTTTCTAGAATAAAAACCAAGGTTATTTGTATAAGACATTGGAAACAAATTCCTCTTGACATTTTCTTTCTGTTTATCAGTGGCCTGAGGCTTCCACCACTAAACGCAAAGCTGTAGATACCTATTGCTTGGATTATAAGCCTTCCAAGGGAAGAAGGTAATGATGTTTTTTAGCATATGTGGAAATTGATATTATTGTATTCTGTAGCTCTGGAAAAAACTAATTATTCAGATTTCTGTGAAGGGTTTAGCCTGAAAAGAATCTGTTGAGAAAGGAGAAAGATTTGTAATATCCAACAATTTCAAAGCCAAAGTTACTAGTTCATTGTTCATATTTAGAGATAAGGAAATAGGCCCGGGAGAACTGGGAAGACAGGGCAAAAGTCGCAGTGGACTGAGATCACAGCCCAAGTCTCCTGATGTGTAGCCATTTGGAAACATTTCTTTCTATTTGTGCCTTGGAAGGTGGGCAAGAGGCAAAAAAAAAAAAAAAAATGTAAAGGATATAAGGCCGGGTGCGGTGGCTCTTGCCTGTAATCCCAGCACTTTGGGAGGCTGAGGCAGATGGATTGCCTGAGGTCAGGAGTTCGAGACCAGTCTGGCCAACATGGTGAAACCCCATCTCTACTAAAAACACAAAAAAATTAGCCAGACGTGGTGGCATGCGCCTGTAATCCCAGCTACTCGGGAGGCTGAGGCAGGGGAATTGCTTGAACCAGGGAGGCGGAGCTTGCTGTGAGCCGAGATCATGCCACTGCACTCCAGCCTGGGTGACAGAGCGAGACTCTGCCTCAAAAAAAAAAAAGAAAAAAGAAAAAAAAAAAAGGATATAAATACACAGTTAAATAGGATAAATAAGACCTAGGGTTCAATAGGTCAGAAGAGTGGCTTTAGTTAACAATAACCTATTGAACACTTCAAAATAGCTAGAAGAGAATAATTTAAACATTCCTAGCATAAAGAGAAGATAAATATTTAAGGTGGTGGATATCCTAATTACCCTGATTTGATCTTTACACATTATATGAAGGTATCAGAATAGCACATGTTGGCTGGGCACAGTGGCTCATGCCTGTAATCCCAGCATTTTGGGAGGCTGAGGTAGGAGGATCACTTGAGGCCAGGAGTTTGAGATCAGCTTAAGCAAAATAGTGAGATCCTGTCTCTACAGAAAAATTTAAAAATTAGCCAGGCATGGTGGTATGTGCCTACAGTCCCAGTTACCTGGGAGGCTGACGCAGAAGGATTAGTTGAGCCCAGGAGTTCAAGGCTGCAATGCAGTGAGCTATGATCACGCCACTGCATTCCAGCCTGGGCAACAGAGTGAGACCCTGTCTCAAAAAAATATGTATGTAATATAAAATTACATATACCCTCAAATATGTAAATCTATTATGTATCAATTTTTAAAAACGAATAAAAAGAGTAAGTAGTTCAAATAAAAGCTCAAGACAGGCAATTGTATTAGTCAGAAAGTAAAGCTTTCTGGAGAGTTTCCTAACTTCTGAATAAACTTCAGCAGGTTTTGCAGAATTAGGCTAGTGGAAACATAAGGCTCTTGCAAAAAAATTTCAGAAAGTACTCTTGCCTTTTTAAGTGCAAAATAAGCAGATTGCAAAGGCGCTTTTCCTCTCCACCCTGAAAGGTGGTGTTTGTACTTGAGAAGGGAGGAAGGAGGGGGCCTGAGTACTGAGGCTTCCCATCCACTTATACAATTTCCCAGCGAGGACTTGGGGATCTGCAAGGCCTGTGCCAAGTCAGGCTTTATGCCGGCATTGAGAAGTGATACACAAGTGGGTGGAAACAATGAAGAAATGTTTTGTGGGATTTGAGAGACCTCATATCCCCCAATACGCTGTTAGTATCACTTGTTGAAATTAGAGACTGGGCACAGTGGCTCACGCCTGTAATCCCAGCACTTTGGGAGGCTGAGGTGGGAGGATCCCTTGAGCCCAGGAGTTTGAGACCAGCCTGGGCAACATGGTGAGCCCTCGTCTCTACAAAAAAATTTATTTTTTAATTTTTTTGGAGACAGGGTCTCATTCTGCCACCCAGGCTGGAGTGCAGTGGCACAATCATAGTACACTGCAGCCTCAAACTCCTCGGCTCAACTGATTCTCCCATCTCAGCCTCCATGCCCAGCTAATTTTTATATTTTTTGTAGAGACAGGGTTTCGAACTCCTGGGCTCAAGCAGTCTGCCTGCCTTGGCCTCCCAAAGTGCTGGAATTACAGGTGTGAACCACCACACCTGGCCTACGAAATTTTTTTTTTTAATTAGCTGGGGGTGGTGGCATGTACCTGTGGTCCGAGCTACTCGAGAGGCAGACGTGGGAGGATGTCTTGAGCCCAGGAGGTTAAGGCTGCAGTGAGCTGTGATTGTACCACTGCACTCCAGCCTGGACAACAGAACAAGATCCTGTCTTAAAAGAAAAAAAAAGAAATTAGCCTAGGTTTTTAGTAAGGAGAGGCTACCTCTAAAGCCCCACCATGACTGCACCCTTGGGCTTCAAGACCCACACACTTTAAGGGGCTACTCAAGTGCACCACAGCTGTCCACAATCCTAAGAGCCACTGATGTTTTCACAGGTGGGCTGCAAGAGCACCAAGCACCAGAATCACATATGGGACTATCACCAAAGAGAGAGACTACTGCGCGGAAGACCAGACTATCGAGAGCTGGAGAGAAGAAGGTTTCCCAGTGGGCTTGAAGCTTGCTGTGCTTGGTATTTTCATCATTGTGGTGTTTGTCTACCTGACTGTGGAAAATAAGTCGCTGTTTGGTTAAGTAATTTAGGAGCAAAGCAATGCTCCAAGCGAGGCCTCCTGCTTCAGGAAAGAACCAAAACACTACCCTGAAGGGCCAGCCTAGCCTGCAGCCCTCCCTTGCAGGGAGCCTTCCCTTGCACTGTGCTGCTCTCACAGATCGGTGTCTGGGCTCAGCCAGGTGGAAGGAACCTGCCTAACCAGGCACCTGTGTTAAGAGCATGATGGTTAGGAAATCCCCCAAGTCATGTCAACTCTCATTAAAGGTGCTTCCATATTTGAGCAGGCGTCAAACAAGGAAACTGTCTGGCGTTTTTCTTTCTAAGTATGGTGACAAGCCATAGGTCGCATTTTATTCACTCCTCCAATTGTATAGCCAATTCTGGGAAACAGCTAATTTACAGCAGAAGAATGTGTCTAGTTTAGTAAACACAAAGAAATGTCCAACACCATGAAAACAATTTAGAACAGGATAGCATTTTTGCCTTTGAAACTTAGCAAGGTTCTAAAAAATTACCATCTGACAAAGGAATGTAATAACCATGGCCTCAGGGACCAGGCAGAGCTGTGTAGGCACCCGGCTCCTCTCTTTATCGGCCCTGTGACCTTGGGTGAGTTAGTTGTCCTCCTGGAGTTTCAATTTCAGCTTTCAAAAATAGGGGTAGAATAGGCCTCTTAGGGTGATGAAGAATTTGAGGAAATAATGTGAGTAGTGGACTTAGTGTGGTCCACACCTGACTTGTAGCAAGCACTCAATAAATGCTTAAGCAATGTTACACTTTGGCACAATATGGGAGGAGCTAATTCTAGGTACAAAAAAGCACCAAAGGCTGGGCATGGTGGCTCACGCCTGTAATCCCAGCACTTTGGGAGGCCGAAGTGGGTGGATCACTTGAGGTCGGGAGTTCAAGACCAGCCTGGCCAACATGGCGAAACCTTGTCTCTACTAAAAATACAAAAAATTAGCCGGGTGTGGTGGCGCATGCCTGTAGTCCCAGCTACTCGGGAGGCTGAGTCAGGAGAATCACTTGAACCCAGGAGGCAGAGGTTGCAGTAAGCAGAGATCGTGCCACTGCACTTCAGCCTGGGCAACAGCCCGGGCTCATGATCCACCTGCCTCGGCCTCCCAAAGTGCTGGGATTACAGGCATGAGCCACCATGCCCAGCCTGAAAATGCTTATTTAAAAATTTTTTTAAAAAATAGCTTTATTGTGGAAGGCTGAGATAGGGGAATTGCTTGAGTCCAGGAGTTCAAGGCTGCAGTGAGTTGTGATCACACTACTTCACTCCAGCCTGGGCCCTATCTCTTAAAATATATATATGTAGAGAGAGAGATAAATAATTTATATGCCATATAATTCACCTACTGAGGGTTACAGTTCAATGATTTTTAGTATATTCATAGGGTTATGCAATCATTCCCGCAATAAATTTTAGAATATTTTCATCATTCCAAAAAGAAATTCTTAAGGTGCTCATTTTAATGGTAAACAAAAAAGGACACAAATTTGTTGTACCATATTATCACAACTGCACAACACTGGAAGAAAATATGTCAAAATGTTAAGAGTACTTCGGTGACTGGAGCTCTAATTTTTCCCCCTATTTCTACTTTTTAAATATTTTTAAAGATTTCTGTAAGTAGTGTGTATCAGTTTGCTAATGAGAGAATATAAATATTAATTTTTAAAAATTGCATTCTGTCTGGATGTGGTGGCTCATGCTTGTAATCCCAGCACTTTGGGAGGCTGAGGTGGGAGGATCGCTTGAGGCCAGGGGTTTGAGACCAGCCTGGACAACATAGCAAGATCCTGCCTATAAAACAAAAAAAGAAGAAGAAATTTTTGAAAAACTGCATACTGTATTACAGTTTGAATGCAAGGATCATAAAACTCTAGTAAGACTGGCTTAAACAGAGATTTATTTTTATCTCATAAAAAGAAGTCTAGGGCCAGGCGCTGTGGCTCAACCCTGTAATTCCAGCACTTTGGGAGGCCTAGGTGGGAGGATCACCTGAGGTTGGAAGTTCAAGACCAGCCTGACCAACATGGACAAACCGTGTCTCTACTAAAAATACAAAATTAGCCAGGCGTGGTGGCACATGCCTGTAATCCCAGCTACTCGGGAGGCTGAGGCAGGAGAATCACTTGAACCCGAGAGGTGGAGGTTGCGGTGAGCCAAGATCATGCCATTGCACTACAGCCTGAGTTTTTTGAAACTCCGTCTCAAAAACAAAAAAAAGTCTAGAGTTTAAGATGTCCAATATTGTTTAAAATGACCAAAAATGTAATATAATTCTGATTCAAACAAACCAGCTGCAGAAAAAATTATGATCAAGGAGATGCGAAACTGACCCGATTCTTGGTGGTATTCAGAGAGGTTTGGTCTGACTGAGCTGCAGCAGCTGTCCGACTCCCAGGGGAAAAAGCGAAAGGCTGAGAGAATCCCAGACACTGGCCTGACACGTTGGAACTGCCGAAATTCCATGAAGGATCCAGATAATGGCCATCACATCATCATTTAAGGCAGGACGTAAGGACTAACCATGTCTCTTCTCCAGCTCTACATATTTCATCCTGAGCAGCAAGGGAGGCTGAGAAAGTGGGCGCTGGAGCCTTGGCAGCCTCTGTGTTAGAAGAGGGAGAAGAGGATTGGTCATAGGAGTAAGCAGAGCCAACCTACAGTGGTGGCCACATGCACTTAAAAAAGAAAACTTCTGTTGTGTTGTTTGGTTTGTTTGTTTTGAGACAGGGTCTCACTCTATTACCCAGGCTGGAGTGTGGTGGATCACCGCAACCTCCACCTCCCGGGCTCAAGTGAACCTCCCACCTCAGCCTCCCGAGTAGCTGGGACTACAGGCATGTGCCACCATATCTGGCTAATTTTTTTTGTATTTTTTATAGAGATGGGGTTTCACCGTGTTGCCCAGGCTGGTTCCGAACTCCTGGGCTCATGTGATCCTCCCAAAGTGCTGGGTTTACAGGCGTGAGCCACTGCGCTCCACCAATACTTCCGTTCTTAATAAAACCAAACATGATAAAAAATAAAACTTCTAGAAAGTTTCCTCCATTATTTTCAACTTTTCCCAGTTCTTTTATGTTAGAATTCTGGAATCAGTTTAAAGAGACTGCACAGACAATTACTTTTGTGTCTGACCATTCAAGGTGTGAGTTCCCAACCAGCAGTATCAGCATCTCAGGCTCCGTCCCAACTACTGAGCCAGAATCTGCATTTCAACAGGATCCCAGGTGATTCCTACCCAAATTAAAGTTTGGGAAGCATTGTGGTGGCCCATCCCTATCAGATGCTGTGATATAGTGATATAATAAAAAATTTATATTTTGTCTCTGCCCCGGTTCCTGGCACACAGTTCCTAAAACTGTTGGAATCTCCTGAATGGTAAGTGTCTTTTTTATGCTATTTGACATGACTGGTGGCTGGCGGCCACTAGATAGCTTCAGGATGGGGACAGGTCACCAGAAAGATCAAGGCAGGATTCTAGGGTTAGAACTTTCAGTCCCATCCCCCCAAACTCCAGGAAAGGGAGATGAACTGAAGGTTAAGTCAATCATCAATGGCCAGTGATTTAATCAATCTTGCCTCCATAATGAAGCCGCTATAAAAACCCAGAAGGAGTGGGTTCAGAAGCAGGTTCTGGGTAGCTGAACCTGTGGAGATGCCTGGAGGGTGGAGTGCTAGAAACAGCGCGGAGCTCCGTGCCCCTTCCCACATGCTTCACCCTGTGCATCTCTTCCATCTGAATGCTCATCTGCACCCTTTATTATTAAACCAATACATGTAAGGGAAGTGTTTCCCTTAGTTTTGTGAACCACCCTGGGAAATTAATCTAACCCAAGGAGAGGGTCCTAGGAACCTTGATTTATAGTCGGTTGTTCAGAAGCACAGGTCACAATGTAGGGTTCTTAACTGGCATTGGAAGTGGGGGGCAGTCTTCTGAGACTGAGCCCCGAACCTGTGGGATCTGATGCTGTGCCTAGGCAGACAGTGTTGGAATTGAATTAAATTATAGGGCATCCAGTTGGTGTCTGATGGAGAATTTGGTGCCAGAATTGCTTGGTGTGTGGGGAAAAAACCCACACATCTGGTGTCAGAACTGTTGTGGTGGGTGGGAGTAGAAAAAAACACTTTGGTTGGCCAGGCATGGTGGCTTACACCTATAATCCCAACACTCTGGGAGGCTGAGGCGGGCAGATCGCTTGAGCTGAGGAGTTTGAGACCAGCCTAAGCAACATAGCAAAACCCTGTCTCTACAAAAAATACAAAAATTATCCATGTATGGTGGTGCATGCCTGTAGCCTCAGCTACTTGGGTGACTGAGGTGGGAGGATCGTTGAACCCTGGAGGTCGAGGATATAGTGAGCCATGGTTTCGATACTACACTCCAGCCTGGGTGACAAAGTGAGACCCTGTCTCAAAAAAACAAAACAACAACAACAAAAAACCCCAAAACAAACAAATAAATGAAAAAACACTTTTGTTTTTTTCCTATCTCTAATAGATCCATATATAGGAGGAGTCTCTAAAACTCAGGCCAGAGGACCAATGAGTTAAGCCTATCAGGAACCTAAGTGCAGTGGGGACGTGTTCCCTCTTGGAGAAAAACTTGTCTTAAAAGAAGAGACTCAAGGCATACAAGTTTGGTCCCAGGCAATGTGTCACCATCTATTCAACAGTCGATTAGCACCTCTTGTTCCCTTGCAATAAAATGACAAATAAAACCAGCCAGGCACAGTGACTCACATCTGTAATCCTAGCGCTTTGGTAGGCAGAGGTGGGAGGATCACTTGAGGCTGGGAGTTGAAGACCAACCTAAGCAACATAGCAAGACTGTCTCTACGAAAAAAATAAAGAAGAAGAAGAAAAGAAAAATTAGCTACTCAGGAGGCTGAGCCCAGAGGATCACTTGGGCCCAGGATTTCAAGGAGGCTGCAGTGAGCTATTATTGTGCCACTGCACTCCCCCTGGGTGACAGAGCAAGACCCTGTCTCTAAAAAAAAATTTTTTTAATCAGTATAGGATATAGTTCCTGCTCTTAAGGAACACACAGTCTGACAGGAGAGATGGAAAAGTCAACAGATAGTACGGTGTTAAGTGACATCCTTTTGATGATGGCATAGGGTACCCTGGAAGCACAAAAGAGCAACCTTCTCCTATATTGGGAATAGACAGGGGTAGCTTCCTAGAAAAAGTGGTATCACAGCTGAAGCCAGAAGGATGAGTAGGACTCAGTCCAAATAAGGGAAAAGTGGGCGAGGCTAAAGGAAAAGTCTGCCAGGCGAGGGAGCAGTATTTACAAAGACTAGTGTGTGAGAGACTGCATGGCAGGTTTAGGAAGCCACAAGAGAGTGAAGCGGGTGGGGAGAGATGCGGCTGGAAAAGAAGGTGGGATTCAGATCATAGAGGGTCTTGGGACCATAGGAAGGAAAATATGGTCTATGTTAAAGTTTGAACTTTAATGGAAGCCAATGCATAAGAAAAGTAACTCTTCTAAGGACTAACAGTGTCTGCCTCCCTGAATGTCTTCCGTGTCAGTTGCCACAGCCCCCTGAATGAGAGCTGGAGAGACAGGCTTCTAAGGAGGGGCCAAACCAAGGAGCTGTGTGCTGAATCCCTTGAGGGACTTGGGACAGGGGAGAGGCAGGTCAGTTTGCAGTGTATTGGCAGCAACAGATGTGGGCAGCCCAATGTGGGTGCCTTTGATACGGGCAGTGAATGGGGCAATGCTACTGGAGCAAAAGCAGCAGAGAAGGAATAATGAGGTGCTGGCTGGTGGCTGAGATAGCTTTGTGGGGCTCCCAGGGAGAACAGAATTGTGGCTGCAATTGCCCAGTGCAAATAGATAGGACAGGGGAATCGGGGGTGAAGAGGAACAGTTAAAACCTCTCTGCTTAGAAAACTCTAAGAATGCACTTGCCCTGTTTTTTGAGTATTTGTGATGTGACCCAAGTGTTTTATGATTCTTTTTTTTTTTTTTTTTTGAAACAGAGTCTCACTCTGTCACCCAGGCTGGAGTGCAGTGGCACGATCTCAGCTCACTGCAACCTCCGCCTCCCAGGTTCAAGTGATTCTCCTGCCTCAGCCTCCCAAGTAGCTGGGATTACAGGAACGCACCACCGCACCCAGCTGATTTTTGTATTTTTAGTAGAGATATGGTTTCTCCATGTTGCCCTGGCTGGTCTTGAACTCTTGACCTCAGGTGATCCACCTGCCTCGGCCTTCCAAAGTGCTGGGATTACAGGTGTGAGCCACTGCACCCAGTTCATGATCTTCTTTTTAAGGCTCACCTTTCCCTGGTAATTTGGGGAAAATAGGTCCAGGGAGTGGAGGCTGACTGACATCCCAGGATCACTGCCATCAAGCTGACCTCCGCAGAGAGCTGATGCAGGCCAGGCCAATTCTCCCACTGCTGCCCTGTCCCTACATTCTCCACAATACAGTGACACAGGCTGTGTAACAGGCTTTTCTGACATTTTAGATGGAAGGGAAAATGTATATGAAATTGAAATGTGGGGAGGGAAGAACCTTAACACCAAACGCTAAATGAATCATTCCCAGAATCCTAGGAAAATGAAAAGTGCTAACCCCATTAAAAGTGCATTGAAGTGGCTAGCTTTGCTTTCTGCTTCAGGATTCATCGTTTTCCAAGGGCCCCACCTTTAATCCTTCAGAGTGATTCTCCACCCTGAGACCCGCTTACAGGGCACAGTTATACCTCCCTCCCAGTGACTCACAATGATTCAGACGTAGTGCTGGTCTCAGACACAATCCTGCCTGAATCTATATAAAGAAAGAGAAAAATCTCCCTCACTCCACAACAGCATACTATGCCAAGATTTCTCCTGCTTCCAACGTGCAGAGTGTATTTGTTTGTTTTCAAATCTTATGCTTTGTTCTGTTTCTGCAGTTTCTAGAGCACAGCTGGGGACCTGGTACGTAAAAAACCGGCCTTACCTCAGTGCCTTCTCCAACAGCAGAGTCATTGACCCACCCCTATCCCAGCTATACAAGGACCCATGATCTTGAGATTTTCTTGACCTTGGGCCAAATCAAATTCCAAGGCAGGGCTCTAGTCTCAGCAATAGGAAGAGAATTAGTCTAGAGACTGATTTCTTCTTGTCAAGAGCAAACTCCTTGCCAGCGAGGTGTTTTATTTTTTCAATTTCAATGACTCGTCTGCCTCCCCTACAAATCTTGGAGCTCCTTGTGTCGAGGACTGTATCTTAATCATCTCTGGATCTCCTCTCGAAGTGATGTCTGTGCTACCTCCAGAAAGAGCCCATTTCCATTTTGAGCAGTTTCCAACTCAAATAGACATTTGAAACCACAAAACCAATACCCCAGATTTTGCTTCCTGTTTATCCCTGTGATGAGAAGTCCCTAAAATGAGCAAACTGCTGTTGAAAGGCATTCCCAATCAACCTCATTATGCAGTGTTTAGCCTTCTAACACACTGTCATTCCCACGGCATCCAAAGTCCTCATTCCTATAAATGTCACTATTTACAGCAGGGTCAATCCTGCCACCCAGCAAAGGTGTTCTCCATCCCATGGCCAAACAATGAAGTGGAGCCCTGGCTGGAGAAACAGGATTGAGCTAATTGCATGTCACACAGACACACTGGATTTCACAGGCTTGTGTTCTACAGATGGGGCGATGAGGCCAATTCTATTGCATGCATGCTGTTTAAATCTCTACCCAGTCAATATTCAGGGTGGCAGATGGAAGAAATTCTTAAAGGCTCTATTTCTGTTCTTCGACATTCAAAGAAATACTGTGCTACCACCTCTTAAAAATAATTGGTTAAGTACCAAGTTATTTTCATTGCCACAGTCATAAATAAAGAAGTGCTAGACCACAATGTTTATATCTATAGTAGTTGATAATCTTACATGCAAGAAAAATGATTGTTGATGTTTAGGAGGTTGTTTTTCTTGCTTTTTTTCCTCCCTTCCTTTCCTCCCCTACCCCTACCTCCCAGCCAAGAAAAGTCTTGTTGATTAGAGTAACAAGAAGGGGCTGATTTGGAAGTAAAATTAAACTTGACTCTTTCCTGAAGCAAGAACGTAATCTCAAGACTAAAATAAGAAAGTGCCTAACCAACTTGGCATTTTATTCTGAGGAAGATTCCCGATAGAAACTTGGATGGAAGAAAATGAAAGGGAAGCCAATTAGCCTGTGTTAAGCAATGCTAACTTTTAACAAGCTTGCTCAAGAAGAAATGAACCTGTTAAGAGGGTCATCCAGGGCTTCCTTGCCGCCTCGGTGCACAGCTCAATCATGCTTCCTTCTTGTTCATTTTGACAAAGCAGGTGAGTGATGAGCAGGAAAAAATTATGAGGAGGTGTTGGAGCAACTCGCTAATCAGCACTGCTACAAGATCGCCAGCATTTACAGGACCGCATTCACTGAGAAATGATGGCTGCTATGAATGTTCTCGTTTGTGGGCGTCACCTAAACACAACCCTGCCTAATGAATCAATCTCTGGAGAGCCAGAGGGGGCTATTCTAGGTACTGCAGATGTGGATGAGGACAGCTCTCCTCATTTCCTGGCAACAGGAGACTGGTGTGACAACTCTAATTCCTGGAGAGCCATTGGTAAAATCCTCCTTGGGTTCAAGAGTTAGCTAAAAATATGTGGAGGGGAAAGGATGAGTTTGTCCTTTTTTTTTTTTTTTTTTTTTTTTTTTTTTAGTTTATTGCTACTGGGTTTTTTTAAATTTGTCTCTTGAAGGAGAATGGATTATTAATGTTCATTACTGTTCTGATTAGGAGGCAGCCTTTTTCCCTTCCCAGATTAATGTTGGGCAACCCTTCAAATTGGCAGAGAGAAGGGTAACTCCACAACCTGTATGAACAGGGATGGCTTTGCTGCTGTGAAGAACATGTTGCTCTCACTTGCATTACTAGAAAAGAAAGGTGAGATCTGGTCTAAGAAGGGCTGAGGCAGAAATTTAAAAATAAATATGCATTAATTCACTCCGAGAAAAGTAACAGGCAAGGCAAGGGTTAAAAAGAAAAGAAGCAAGTTTTCCTCTGCTTAGCAGCTCACTTCAAGGACAGTTATAAGATAAGGCTGTCCGAAAAGCCAAGGCCAAAGGAATGGGCTCCAGACACCCACTCCTTCCTCCAGAGCAAGGTTGAAAGGAAAAAAAAGAAAGACAAATTCCTTTACTGTTACTCCTTTCCCTGGCTTCTTAAGCATAACTATGTTTTACAAATGTCTGTATTTAGCTAGTTCTTGTTTTTCTTTTGTCTCAGCTACAAGGCCACCAGCTATGCAAGGCCACAAGTTATGCACTATATGGTTAACTGCCTTTGTTTTGCTTTTGTAAGCCCGCTTATAAAAACCCCGCTCTGTCTTTGTTCAATGCTCAGCTTTTTGGATGTGAATCCACTGAGCCGGTGCATATCTTAAAATAAATATCCTCCTGTTCTGCCATATCGGTCTCTCCATTCCTCAGTTTACCTCAACGGGGCAACGTTAGGGAGAGTGTCCTAAGCAGAAGATCCAGGATCCAATTCTACCTCTGCCCTGGCAGGCTCCCGTGGGGCCTCAGCTTCCTCATCTGTAAAATGAGCACTAGAATGATCTGAGCCAGAAACTATGCAATGGGGAAGCTTAAAGACATTACGTTAAGTGAAATAAGCCAGTCAGAAAAGGACAAATACTGTATGATTCCATTTACATGAGCTACCTGGAGTAGTCGGATTCACAGAGATAGAAAGCAGAATGGTGTTGCCGGAGCTGGAGACTGTGGGGAATGGGGAGTTACTGTTTAATGGGTACAGAATATCCATTTTGGAGAATGAAAAAAGTTCTAAGATGGATGGTGGTGATGGCTGCACAGCAGCATGTATGTGCTTAGTGCCACTGAACTGTACCCTTAAAAATGGTTACAATGGTAAATTTTGTTATGTATATTTTACCACTATTTTTTTGAGACGGAGTTTCCCTCTTGTTGCCCAGGCTGGAGTGCAATGGTGTGATCTCGGCTCACCGCAACCTCCGCTTCCCAGGTTCAAGTGATTCTCCTGCCTCAGCCTCCTGAGTAGCTGGGATTACAGGCATGCACCACCATGCCCGGCTAATTTTGTATTTTTAATAGAGATGGGGTTTCTCCATGTTGGCCAGGCTGGTCTCAAACTCCCGACCTCAGGTGATCCGCCTGCCTCAGCCTCCCAAAGTGCTGGGATTATAGGCGTGAGCCACTGTGCCTGGCCTTTCACAATATATATTATAAAATAAACTAAGCAACTATCCACAACATTCACCCAAAGTATCAGGAGTCTCAAATTCAAGCACCCATGGGGGTCAGGCCATTTGTATGAGTGAGCCCACGGTCTTGCCTAGCGTACAGAGGAGGTAGTAGCTCCCAGCCCAGCCAAACCATCCATGCAGGAATGTGATCAGACTTTTCAAGAGGAAGGGAATATTCTGGATATTTATGTGAAATGTCTTAATTATTTAAATTGGCAACTAATTCAAAATTTTAAAAAGCAACAAACTGTGGGCAAACAAAATACATCTGCAGGTGAGATTCTGTTTTCTGCCTCTCTGTAGGTAACCAGTCTGTAGCATCTACTTTTTTTTCTTCTTTGTTTGCCAGCATTCCCACCCCCACATATCTCCCTTAATAACAGGTTCTGGCCAAGACAAACTATCTGGATAAGTCCATTGACCTTCTACATTGTGTACCTATGGGAGCCCAGCCAGAATATGCCAGCATAGGCAGGGTACACCCACCTATAGGCAGGTGCAATGGCATCAACACTGCCATCATTCTAGCAGAGCCTATCAGAGATCTGGGGTACACATGTGCATTTTCTAGCCCCAAACTCACTTTTACCTCAAGAATTCTACTAATTCTTATCATTATTTTCTTAGTTTTCTCAATGGAGACCTAGTGAAATAGTTCTCACCTCCTCTCCCATCACACTCTATGCCTTTGCTCTCTTAATTTCTGGTGTAAAACCAGCTTCCTTACTACATCTGATGTCCACACTCACTACCATATTCAGAAGTCAGATGAGGCCGGGTGCAGGCCTGTAATCTCAGCACTTTGGAAGGCAGAGGTAGGCGGATCACTTGAGGTCAGGAGTTTGAGACCAGCCTAGCCAACGTGGTGAAACTCCATCTCTACCAAAAAAACACAAAAATTAGCCAGGTGTGGTGGCACATGCCTGTAATCCCAGCTACTTGGGAGGCTGAGACAGAAGAATTGCTTGAACCCGGGAGGTAGAGGTTGCAGTGAGCTGAGATTGTGCCACTGCACTCCAGCCTGGGCAAAAGAGCAAGGTCCTGTATCAAAAAAAAAAAAGAAGTCAGATGATATCATGCATCTTTCTTGATTTTTGACAAGTGTGGAAAATACATCCCAATATGTAAGCTTCTAGAGTACAAGGGTTTTATACTTTATGGGAGTAGTAGCAGCCATGCAGATTCTAGAGGTCGCCTGTACTGTATTTCACTTATAAGCCTGATACTGCAACTTGGCAAAATAACATAGGCAGCATTCCACATTTGCTAGCAGCTTCATTTAAAGGTGGGACGTTGTTTGCAAAAGTAGGCCATTTGGAGAAGTGTGGGGAACATATCACTAATCATCTGCCAGTTCCATGCCTGCTTATACCAAATCTGGTAGCAAAAAGGAGAAACTTGAGCATTTCCTTAGGCTAGGCTTTCTACAATTAATTCTCAGTGACAGCGCAGATGTCTCTTGCTTGTAAGAAGCCATCAAAAGGTTCTTTTGGATGTGCTATGCTCTCCCTAAGTGGGGAAGCAGAAGTACTGCTTAGATAAACAGATCTGCATTCTCAGGAAATTCTGCTCTGCTGGCTATGGGAAGGCTGTAGGCTCTGTATTCAGTGAGTCTTTCTGCCCAACCACCCATGTGGTTCAGTGTGGCCCTATGCCCAGCAATGCCTCTTTCGATCAGCACTTTTCCCCAGACAACTACGGTTTACCTGTTTGAGAGCCATGACAATTTTTCTCCTGTTTATCATTCTGCTGGCAAGTATAGAGAGCCTACTATGTGCTGCGCACTGTGCTAGGAGATGGGATATAACAAGTAAGACACTCTCCCCTCCCTCAAGAAGCTTACCCAATAGTGGGGGAAGCAGAGCCATAAACAGATGATTAGAACCTGTCCTGAGTGTTTGGATGGATGCGGTTTTGGTGCTCTACCCAGATCCTCTTCCCTGGCTCAGCACACCCACCTCTGCAGCATGGGGGTTGGCTGCTAATGGCTCATGGGTGCCCCTCTCCTCCTGAGAGTTGTCCTCAGATGATGGGTGCTGCCTCTCCTCCTCCCTTATACCCACCCACTCCCTTATACCCTTTGGCAGCCCACAGCCAAAGGATGGACTGATGTGGCCTGGGCACAGTAGCTTATGCCTATGATCTCAGCAGTTTCAGAGGCCAAGGCAGGAGGATCACTTGAGGTCAGGACTTTGAGACTAGCCTGGGCAACCTAGGGAGACCTCATCTCTACAAAAAATAAACAAAATCAGCCAGGCGTCATGATGCACACCTGTAGTCCCAGCTCCTCGAGAGGCTGAGATGGGAGGATTGCTTGAGCCCGGGAAGTTGAGGCTGCAGTAAGCCAAGATTGTGCCACTGCCCTCCAGCCTGGGTGACAGAGTGAGACCCTGATTTTTAAAAGGGGGAGTATTGGCCGGGCGCAGTGGCTCATGTCTGTAATCCCAGCACTTTGGGAGGCCAAGGCGGGTGGATTATCTAAAGTCAGGAGTTCAAGATCAGCCTGGCCAACATGGTGAAACCCCATCTCTACCAAAAATACAAGAATTAGCTGGGCATGGTGGCAGATGCCTGTAATCCCAGCTACTCTGGTGGCTAAGGCAGGAAAATCACTTGAGCCCGGGAGGCGGAGGTTGCAGTGAGCAAAGATCGCACCATTGCACTCCAGGCTGGACAACAGAGCGAGACTCCATCTCCAATAAATAAATAAATAAATAAGTAAATAAATAAATAAGCATTAAGGTGGAGAGAGGATAATTCTGCAATATTATTTATGCTCCAGAAGACCCTACCCATCCACTGTGAATCAGGCCAGGGCTAGACTTTACCTGGGACCACAGGTCTGTTTGGCTGCTTCCCCTTTTGCGCTTTCAGACCCTTGTAGGTCTTTCCGGAGAGACTACTGCAATAAATCATATGCCTGGATCCCTGTCTGAGGCTCTGCTTCTACAAAACCCTACACATGACAGTGTTATGGGGGCAATATTTGGTGGAAATCTTCCTGAAATTTATACCTTTCTTTGAGGACATTGAATTAGATGATATTCCTACCAACTCTATTTTTTTTTTTTTTGAGACAAGTTCTCGCTCTGTCACCCAGGCTGGAGTGCAGTGGCACGATCATGGCTCACTGCAGCCTCGACCTCCCAGACTCAAGCAATCCACCCACCTCAGCTTCCTGGAGTAGCTAGGACTACAGACATGCACCAACACACCCAGCTAATTTTAAATTTTTTGTAGAGCTGGGTTCTCCCTGTGTTGCCCAGGCTGGTCATAAACCCCTGGCTTCAAGTGATCCTCCCTCCTTGGACTCCAAGTATTGGAATTACAGGCATGAATCACCTTGCCCAGTCCTTGCCAACTCTTAAGTGTTTTTGAAGTTATAGCCATGAGCATCATTTCAGGGATGGAGTGGAAAGGGAGATAGACCTGGGTTCGAATTCTGACCCCACACCTAGCAACTGAGGGCCCTGGCTGAGCTACAGGTCTTTCATCTGGAGTGGAGGAGCGACATCAATCTCATAGGGTGGTTGTGAGGACTAAAGGATATAGTCTATCCTGAAGCACTTAGTACAGCACCTAGCAACAACTCTTGCTGTAATTATTACAGATGTTATTTTACAACCATATTAAAATAGGGATGTCTTCAGGGGACTACAGAGACCTGTAAGACACTTGCCTCTACACTAGCCAGTGCCAGGCTGTTGTGTTTCTGAGTTGCTGGTTTTGTTTGTTTCTTCCCCTGCTTCCAGGCTGTCAGCCATCTCAAACGGTTTTTCCCTGCATGTGAATTTTCTGACTCTAATCTGCTATTGGTTGGAGAAATCCTCTAACCAGACTTAGGAGAATCGATTGGGTTTTTATTGTCATTATTGTCTCTTGGCCTAGTCTGACTTGTCATGTGGTAAATTGCAGATGTGTAGCTTTCAACTAGATTGTGAGCTCTTAGGGCATGAGGACGATGTCTTAATTATCTATCAGTCTGTTTAATGCCCAGCCCAGGGCCGGCAGATAATAGAGATCAATAAAGGATATTTGGGATACATTTAAAAATATAATTTTAATAAGAATTAAAATGAAATAAACCAGGTGCAGTGGCTCACGCCTGTAATCCCAGCACTTTGAGAGGCAGATGCCAGAGGATTGCATGAGCCCAGGAGTTTGAGACCAGCCTGGGCAACGTGGTGAGGTGAGACCCTATCTCTACCAACAAATGAAATAAAAGAATTAGCCGGTCATGGTGGCTTACGCCGGTAGACCCAGCTATTCACATGCCACTGAACTCCAGCCAAGGCGACACAGCGAGACCCTGCCCCTCGCCCCCTCCCCAAAAAAACAGAAAGAAATGTGAGAGACTCAAAATGAGGGCCTAAATGTTTGCTGCATGAGTCAAAGTTCATAAATTTTAGTTCTGGATGGTTGAGGCTTCTGGGTCAGTTATTTTGAGATTAAAAATAGGTATTAATACATATGTGGGGCCAGGTCTGGTGGCTCATGCCTGTAATCCCAGCACTTTGGGAGGCTGAGGCCGGTGGATCACCTGAGGTCAGGAGTTCAAGACCAGCCTGGCCAACATGGTAAAACCCCATCTCTACTAAAAATACAAAAAATTAGCTGGGCGTGGTGGCTTGTGCCTGTAGTCCCAGCTACTTGGGAGTCTGAGACACGAGAAGAACTTGAATCCGGGAGGCAGAGGTTGCAGTGAGCTGAGATTGCACCACTGCACTCTAGCCTGTGTGACAGAATGAGACTCCATTGCAAAACAACAACAACAACAAAATACGTGGATACTGAAAGGAAAAAGGGAGGATGGATTTTATATTTTGATTTATGTTAACATGAAGACTAAAACTCAGAATATTAAAATTCTTTTCTTTTCCATGATCCCCACAATGGGCAGAGTGTCTTAATACTGTGGTTTTTGCAAACAATAGAGAACCCCAGAGGAAAAGCCACGTGGGTGTTTGTCTCCTGCAGCTCCTAATCATACTCCCGTCATTCTCCTTTGATGTCTTTCTTGTCTATTTCCTGAAATGACACCGATTCTCCCAGCGTGTTTTGGAGCTTAGCCATCCCTTGCTCTTGGAGGACCAGACAGGAGCCAGAGGAAAGAGCACTAGGATGCTTAATCAGCTGTCTTTACTGTTCAGGCCACCAGGCAGAGGTGAGAGGAGAGCCGGTCCCTCTGAGATCAAATTCCAGAAACTGCTGCAGTGGTACATTTTGTTCACACAACAATTAAACTGGTTAAACAATCGCCTGACCCTGGGATTGCTGGCTTGGAGCCCCGGGTTTGGGTTTCTTATCTAACAGGAGCCTACAACAGGAGAGTCAGCTAGGATGCCTTAGGCCTGGTAAGGGGACATTTTCCTTCTTTATCTTAAAGGCCCAGCATCTCACTGGTGAATCTGATCTGGCCAAAGCTAAGTGGAATCAGGGCACTTCCTCGGAGTCCTTCACGATGCAGGTTTGGGCTAAAGGCTTGGAATCATTACTGCACAGATTCCCCTAAGTGAATGGTTCTCAACCTGGCTGCCCATCGGAATCTTCTGGGGACCCTTTAATGCTCTCCGATGCCCAGGCTGCAGCCCCGACCAATTACATCAGCATCTCTGGGAGAGAGACACAGGCATCAGTGTGCCTTCACGAAGACCACTTTAGAGAAGGTTAAACATTTTCAAATGAGTTTTGCTCAGACAAAAGGTGAGAGTATGACTAAGATTCTTCCTCATTGGCAAATCAGGCCAAGAATTACTGGGGCCTCGTGGTGTAGTAAAAGGAGAAGCTTCTATATGGAATCAGACTCAGGGGCCTCAGGGTCTGGTGCTGCCACTTAATACTTCTATGATTTTGGAAAACTACCTCTAGGCTTCCACTTTCTTATCTATATAAAATGGGGGGGGACCAGGCATGGCTCACACCTGTAATCCCAACATTTTGGGAGGCCAAGGCAGGAGGATCACTTGAGCCAAGAGTTCGAGGTCAGCCTGGGCAACATAGTAAGACCCTATCTCAAAAAAAAAAATTTTTTTTAACTAGCCGGGCATGATGATGCATGCCTGTAGTCCCAGCTACTGGGGAGGCTGAGGCAGGAGGATCACTTGAGCTCAGGAGGTCAAGCCTGCATGAACGGAGATCATGCCACTGCACTGCAGCCTGGGCAACAGAGTGAGACCCCATCTCAAAAACTAAATAAATAAAATGGGGATTAAAATATATCCCTTGCGGCCGGGCACGGTGGCTCATGCCTGTAATCTCAGCACTTTGGGACGCCGAGGTGGGTGGATCATGAGGTCAGGAATTCAAGACCAGCCTGGCCAAGATGGTGAAACCCCGGTCTCTACTAAAAATACAAAAATTAGCAGGGAATGGTGGCGGGTGCCTGTAATCCCAGCTACTCGGGAGGCTGAGGCAGAGAATTGCTTGAACTCAGGAGGCAGAGGTTACAGTGAGCTGAGATCATGCCACTGCAATCCAGCCTGGGTGACAGGCTTATCCCTTGCATAAGTTTTGGGCAGTAAATAATATATAGAAAACATCTTGTAGTAACTAGTGAAATAGGCCAGACATGTTGGCTCATGCCTTTAATCCCAGCACTTTGGAAGGCTAAGGCGGGTGGATCACTTGAGGTCAGGAGTTCGAAACCAGCATGACCAACATGGCGAAACCCTGTCTCTACTAAAAATACAAAAATTAGCCAGGTATAGTGGCTCATGCCTGTAATCCCAGCTACTCAGGAGGCTGAAGCAGGACAATCCCTTGAATCCAGGAAGCGGAGGTTGCAGTGAGCCGAGATCACACCATTGCACTCCAGCCTGGCCTTGGCAACAGAGTGAGTCTCCGTCTCAAAAAAAAAAGGGGACTAGTCAAATAATAATAATAATATGGGCCAAGTGCAGTGGTTCAAGTCTGTAATCCCAGCACTTTGGGAGGCTGAGGTGAGTAGATCACTTGAGGTCAGGAGTTCAAGACCAGCCTGGCCAACATAGTGAAACTGTGTCTCTATTAAAAATACAAAATTAACCTGGTGTGGTGGTGCACACTTGTAATCCCAGCTACTTGGGAGGCTGAGGCAGGAGAATCGCTTGAACCCAGGAGGCAGAGGTTGCAGTGAGCCGAGATTGCGCCATTGCACTCCAGCCTGGGCAACAAGAGCAAAACTCTGTCTCAAAAATTATAATAATAATAATAATATGCAGTTATTACCTCAGTAGTTATTATTAATGCAGGTGGTACTTTCTTATCGAGATTCGGGCTCCTTTGGTTGTTTATCTTCTCTTTACTTGTAAGCCTTTCTTCATTTAAGTTGGACAAGAGGATTAATAAAAGAAATTTAAACTGTGAAAGTTGCTACTTAAGATTTTTTTTACATTATTTTCCAATCAAACTAGTTAACAAATCTTTTCATATGTACACAGGCAGCTGTGCTTTCACAGTATAACTTGTTTGTGTAAATACAAGCATTTAATTTTTACAGTTCACATTTAGATGATGGAAAATAAACATGTGGAAGCTATGAAAATTATGACAGAACTTTTTCTTACTGCTCTGTTCCTGGTTATACCATCTTTTAGTCAATCACATATCTACCTAAGATATCTTCATAGAATTCCACTCAAAGGATGTGAAGATAATATAAATACCCCCTACTGAGTTTGGCTATCAAAGCCAGAATTGGTTTAACTCTGAGTGTCGTCTAGTTTTGGTTTTTAATTCTGAGGATTGTGTTTTGACAACTGAGAACTCTATTTTTTGGCTTTGAAATGATATGTGGGATTGCACAGCTGTTACTTCCCTAAATGTATACCTAGTCCCATGACGTTTTCAGGGAATACCCTTGTATAACTTAAGGTGCTAGAATTAAGGATGGTCTGTGGTCACACACTAAAGTTGCTAATCATCCAACCTTACTAGTATAAGTCACATTAATTAAAAGCTTATTATAGGCTGGGTGCGCTGGCTCACGCCTGTAATCTCAGCACTTTGGGAGGCTAAGGCGGGAGGATCACTGGAGCCCAGGAGATTGAGACCAGCCTAGGCAACATAAAAAAAATAATAATAAAGCTTATATGCCTGGAATTGTGCTAAGTATTTTACACACATTATTTCATTTAATCCTCTCAACAGTCCTGTGAAATAGGTACTATAATAATCCGATTTTACAGATGAAGAAACTGAGACTCAGAAAGTTGATTTATTCAGGGTCAAGCAGAGAACTAGGATATGAACCCATATCTATCTGATGCTCAAGGCTTTGCTCTTTAAAAAGAAACACAGCTTTGTCGAGAAATAATTCACACACCACACAATTCAGCCATTTAAAATGTACAATTCAATGGCTTTTGCCAAATGGATTTGTGCAACCCTCACCACAATCAATTTTAGAACATTTTATCAGCCCTAAAAGAAATCCTGTCAACTGATGAATAGATAAATAAAACATGGAATATTCATACAATGAAATATTGTTAGGCAAAAAAGAAAGTACTGATACATGCTACAACGTATCTATTTTTTCCTTTTGTTGCTTGCGCTTTCCTGTCATATCTAAGAAAACATTGCCTACTCCAAGGTCATTAAGATTTATGCTTATGTTTTCTCCGGAGAGTTGTATAGTTTTAGCTCTTACATTTAGGTCTTTGAAGCTCTTTCTCGAAACCACTATGCTTTACTGTTTTGTGTGTGCATAAAGACACAAATACAGTCATAACCCATGGATGAGAGAGAAGCATGAAACGCCTGAGTAATTGGCATTTGGGGTTATCTCTGGATTTTAATGATCTGTTTTTCTCCTGCTCCAACTATGCTTGTAATTAAGAGTCAAATCACTTGATCATGTCCTGAATATATTCTAAAATCTCGCTTTGCAAAAACATCTTACATTCCCATTTCCATGACCCTAATTTAGGTCCTCATCTTCTCACCAGTAGGCTATTTTGATAATCTTCTAAGTAGGCCAAGTTCTTCTCTGATGAAATGCACCTCCCTTTATTGAAATCAATTGCTTGTTAATTTATTCATAAGCTTCACTAAGAGAGGAACTATACATTTCTTTTTCACCATCATGCCCCTGGTGTTTAGCATTGTGTCTGGCACATAGTGGGTGCCCCACAAATAATCACAAAGGAAGACTATGTGATCTCCTTATCATGAAACTCTTCTCCTGGACTAAACACTGTTTATGCTGCTGCCAGATTAATATTCCAAACACTGCTCTGATCACTTCACTTCTTGGCTCAAAAACTTTCAAGGTCTCTCTACTGCCTTCTGAGAAGCGCCGCTCTTTTTTTTTTTTTTTTTTTAAGAGACATGGTCTCACTCTATCTCCCAGGTTAGAATGCAATGATGTGTGATCATAGCTCACTGCAGCCTTGAACTCCTGGGCTCAAGTGATCCTCTTGCCTCAGCCTCCTGAGCAGCTAGGACTACACGCACATTTAACTGTCCCTGGCTAATTTTTTTTGATAGAGATTGGGGGTGGGAGGTGTTGCAGGTGTCTCACTATGGTGCCCAGGCTTGTCTAAAACTCCTGGCTTCAAGCATTTTCCTGCCTCAGTCTCCCAAGAGCTGGGATTACAGGTGTCAACCACTGTGCCTAGTCCTCTGACATGACATCCAAGCAAGGGCTGCCATTCCCAGTTCCTTTCAGAACTCACAAGGCAACTTTGGAGTTGGGCAGGCTGCAGGAAACTCCAAGTATGAGAGTGGTCATTTGCTCTTGTCATGAGGTTGCCAGATTCAGGAAATAAAAATGTTGGGCCGGGCGTGGTGGCTCATGCTTGTAATCCCAGCACTTTGGAAGGCTGAGGTGGGAGGTTCAATCGAGTCCAGGAGTTCAAGACCAGCCTGGGCAACAAAGTGAGATCCCAACTCTACCAAAAACAAAGAGAAATTTCTAGGAATAATAGACGGGGTAAAAAATAGACAGTGGGTAAAAGATACTCACTTAAATCTTAATTTTAAACAACAAATCGTTTTTTGGGATATCCTAAATATTCAGATTTAACTGGGCATCCTCTGTTGTATCTGGTAGCCCTACAGTTAGTCTCAACCACATTCCAGTCTGCAACATCGATGCACTGTATCTTCTTGGAATGCCCCCGACTCATTTTGACCCAAATCTGACACCTCTTCAAAGGCCCTGCTCAAAGACCCTCTCTCCCACAAGGTCTTCTCTGGCATCCTCTGATAGTTATGATTACTTCTTCCTCTCCACTCCCAAAGCGCAAAGAGCAGACCCATTGTGTGTCCCGTAACACATGCTTCCTTCCACTCTGCAGAGGCTAGCCTTGTGTCTTAACCCTGCCTGAGCCTGGAAGCTTCCTGAGCACCAGACCAATGTGCTCTGCCAGCTCATGCTGCGTACTCAGGAGGTGCCATTAGCTGGTTGTTAAATGAATATGTAAGACTCGATTGTCCTAAATCAGAACTACTTTCTATTTTTATTTTCACAGTGGACTTTTCTCCCTAAAGTTCTAGGATCAGTGGGACATGGGCATCACAGGCAAATTACGTGGCTTCTAAGAGACTGAATCTGAAATCTTCTAATTTAGGAGAAAGGAAGGAAATGTGAATCTTTTTCTTCTCTGAACAAGGAAATAAGAATTTGTTAAAAAAAAAAAGATTGAGCATTGACAATTACTGATTACAAAATAAAATAATATTATAGTTTTAAATAAAAACATCTCCATGTGAACAAACTTCGCTTTGTATTTTAGTATCTGTTTGAGTAGGTTTGTACTGCAAAGCGGAAAAATGAAATCTCCCAGGCACCATTTGCCAAGGGATTTGCTCCCCTTCTTTGTCTGTTCAGATTAATCCGAGAGTGGCTGAGAGCTGCCCATTTTATCTCTGGGTTGAGGCAAAAGGGAGCAGTGTTTTCCAAAATAGCCCATGAGATGGCTGGACTCCCTCAGACAGGATTTGGGGGAGGACAAAGGAACCATGTGGGCATTTTATGTAGAGTATCTGGACCGGGTGCCCTGTCATTTGGAAGGCATCTGTTCCTGCCATTTGCACATCTTCCGGTAATCCTCCATTGATCGCCACCCCGCGTTCCTTCCTGCCCACTTGTGCCGGCCCTCCCCGCAGTGCCCTCTGACGTGAGGCCCTTCTTTCACTGCTCTAATTCAATGGCTTCTAATTGGATGCTCTGCCTGGCTAATGGCTTCTACCCAACTGCAGGGCTGACATTTACTTATTTGATTTCCACCCCTCCCTCTGCTCTCTGGCCTCCTTTGTGAGCAGAGCTTAAATTAGGCAGGATTTTAGATCCAGCACCTTTTTATATTTTGGTGTGGGCCTCTTGTTTTTTGAGCTGGGAGGGGTGGCTGAGTAGAGAAGAGCCTTGGAAATATACGCTGAGCTGATCAATCCTGAACCCTGCAGATAAACCCAGCTTTGTGACTTATCTGTGTCCCAGAATCCCAGCTGCCTCTGGGCTGCTTTCTTTGTTTGCATTTTAACCTGGACCCTAGCCTGCTAATTTCGGCTGGAACAAACTTTATTCTGTCACTGAATATCAGACCAATGCCAAAAGAGTCGTTGTTTGTTTTCATCACTGGAAAGGTTCTGGGCTAAATGTTAGACCTCTTCATCTCCAGGGTTTGACATTGAGAATTGTAATGTAGGGCTACAATCATCTTAGTGATTATCTTAGTTATCACAATCTGAACTCATCCTCCTTTCTTCCCTGTCCCTAGATATAAACATTTCTGGAGGGATGAGAGCCATGATCCTGAAAGGATTTCATCTTTGAAGCCTCTTCATCACCATCTTTGCATTTGCCTCTTTTTCTTTCTTTCTTTCTTTCTTTTTTTTTTTTTTTTTTTTGAGACAGAGTCTCACTCTGTTGCCCAGGCTGGAGTGCAGTGGCGCGATCTGGGCTCACTGCAAGCTCTGCCTCCCGGGTTCACGCCATTCTCCTGCCTCAGCCTCCCAAGCAGCTGGGACTACAGGCGCCCGCCACCAAGCCCAGCTAATTTTTTTTTTGTATCTTTAGTAGAGACGGAGTTTCACTGTGTTAGCCAGGATGGTCTCGATCTCCTGACCTCGTGATCTGCCCGCCTCGGCCTCCCAAAGTGCTGGGATTACAGGCTTGAGCCACCGCGCCTGGCCACATTTGCCTCTTTTTCAGTCTTGTAATCCCAAACAAAATAGAAGAGCCATCGCCCATCCATATTTGCTTAGAATGGATATTTACAAATTGAGTTTAAATTGTTCTCGGATGTGAAATATCTTATTTATTTATTTATAGACTTCACCCCATAGAACAAACAGAGACAAACAGCAAGCTTCCCTTTGGTTTGGGACCACTTGGCAGCATGACTCCAATCTCCACTATCACCCAAGCAGTTATGGTTCAGGCAAGCTGTCAGCTTGAGGTCTGTAGTCTATCTCCAGGGATTACTTTTACTTGATTCTTAATTACATACTATTCTCCATCCTCCCAGTCCCTTCACACACACACACACATACACACACAATTCCTCTTTAATTAGGTTGTAGCAGTCTCCTCCAGGTATATCTAACTCAGTTCATCATGGGCTGTTCTGATGGACAGCAGTCTGCCCTGGCCAACACTTCATTAGGTGTGACACCTTGCAGCCAATGGTCCCCAGGCCACCTTGTTCAGGAACCAAAGTGCAGCCCAGCAGGGCATCTGGGAGACAAAGGGATAGTTGTGGTGGAGAAGTAATAGTGATGAAAAGGCTTCCAGAACAGGAGTAGGAAGCACCCTGCAGTGCAGTTCACTTTCTTATACTAGGATATGAAATTAGGAGAGGGTTAAGAAAGGCAACTCATTTACCCAGGTATTGCCTTTGCAGGTGACAGATTGATATTCAAGACTCAGGAAATAGCCAGAATAACTGAGTCTCAACAGATAGCCCATTACCTACAAAATCAATATGGCCTCTTTCTTATGCAATGCTCCTTTTCACTTTTTTTTTTTTTTTTTTTGAGACAGGGTCTTACTCTGTCACCCAGACTGGAATGCAGTGGCATGATCTCAGTTCACTGCAGCCTCGACTTCCTCAGGCTCAAATGATCCTCCCACCTCAGCCTCCCAACTACCTGGGACCACAGGTAAACACCACCATACCCGGCTAAGTTTTGTATTTCCTGTAGAGGTGGGGTTTTGCCATGTTGCCCAGACTAGTCTCAAATGATCCTCCTACCTTGGCCTCCCAAAGTGCTGGGATTATGGGCATGAGCTACTGCACCCAGCAATTCTCTATTTTACTTCTTTCTTCTAACATTCACTTTCTCTTTCCTCTCTTCCTGAAAAGATGGCTAGGGAGGAAGAAGGGAATAAATATTTCCTATGTTCTAGACACTCATGGCTGCTTTACCTGGTGATATAAACCTATATTTTAAAAAGTTGAGGTATAAATTACACACAATAAAACCCACAGTTTGATGGTTTTTGACAAATGTATACACCCTTATAACCACCACTCCATCAGTTATAACGACATGATTCATCCTCACACTTAATCCATGAGAGATTGGTGTCACTGGCTCCATTTTATAGCTGAGGAAAGGGAGGATCAGAAAGATTAACA
The DNA here is from genome assembly GCF_000001405.40 of Homo sapiens. Classification (NCBI taxonomy): domain Eukaryota; kingdom Metazoa; phylum Chordata; class Mammalia; order Primates; family Hominidae; genus Homo; species Homo sapiens. The sequence goes on along the minus strand of NC_000001.11, from coordinate 205,357,834 downwards.
ACAATAGCCATAACAATGGCAAATACTATGAGCCAGGTACTGTTCTAAGCACGTTACACATATTACCTCATTTAATCCTCTCTACAACCCCATTGGTCCCATTTTACAGACGAAGAAACTTGCCAAAGGTCACACAGCTAAAGAGTTAGAGCAGGATTTCTGGTGCTCAGATTACCTTATTTCCCTTACAGTACCTCCAGAGAATTTTTTTTAAGTTCCCTCATTAGATTTTCTTTTATCCCAGAGAGAAAAATCTCCCCAAACAAAACTAAAGGCCATCGGAAGGAAAGCCATATCGATGCTAGCCCCCACTCCATCCCCGGCTTTCTTTAAACTACGGGCAGTCAGATTTAACATCATGGATAGAAAGGTTGGTCTTGAAGAAAAGCCTTGTTTTGCTACCCATTAAACAGTGGGCTTTTCATCTAAGAAAGTCCTTCAAGCCTTCTGCCCAAGTAAAGTGATCAAATTCCCCTGAGGTTCAGCTTGACCTGGTAAAACACGTTGCTTTGTGGAACGAGTTTCGCTTTGCCAGCGGTGCTGAGCATTTCCTTGGGAATCTCGCACCCACGCTGGACCACACTGATGCCTCCTCTGTGCATAGAAAGGCAAAGGTATGGGGTGGCTGTTTGGGACCTTCATATAAAAAGGTCAACCCACTTCTCTGCCTTTTACCCACAGCCCCACCCCTGAGGAGGGAAAAATCTGCAATTGTTGGATTAGGGCTGAGGTGCACATTTGCCCTTTGCATAACTGGCAGCGTTGCAAAGGACAGCCCCTTTCTCTCTTCCCTCCATTCTCTCCCATCTGGCAGAGGAGTCCGGCTCCCTAAATCTTCTTTTTGTTGGTTAGTTTCCATGGCAGTTATTGTCTGTGTGTGTGAGCGTGTCCGCCCCCTCACCCGCTCTCCTCGCAGAGCGGGCCTTTGCAGCTGAGACTGGGTGGAGGGAGAGGCGCGGAGACACTGGGGCTCTGACGAGCTGGCTGAGGCCCTCTCAGTAGGGGGGTCACGCCTCCTGGAACTCAGGGACCCCAAGTTTCTGTGCATTCAGGGCGGGGCTGGCCCCATGCCCTGTGCATAGGGGCCTGGCTGCATCCCAGTCGATCAGCCAGAGGCAGCAGCAGTGGACTCATCAATTGTGGAGGAAGCCCTGGGGACCCTGGGGACCTTGCCGACTCTATTCCCAGCCAGCTCCTAGGACAAGCCTCAGAGCCAACACCCGCTCGACCCTCTCCCGGCCCCTCCCCTTCTTTGTCTTTTGCAGATGATCGCCGGGTGTCGATCCTTTTCCCTCCAGTCAGGTAAGTTTTATTTCAATCCATCTATGCAGAGTGATGCCTTGGCATTCTGAGGGCCTGCTGGTGGGGAGACAGGCAGTGGTGTCTGTGAGAGGAGGGCTGCCCAGGTAGACAGGCTGGCATGGGGGTCAGGAGGGACAAGGGTCTCCAAGGGCCTTTTCTCCTCAGCTGGGCCTCTCTAGCTTTGAAGTTAAAGGTTCCTTCCCATCTGGTTTTAACCCAGCTAATTAACTCCAAAGATTGCTGTCCAGGGCACAGACTGACCAACATACAGCCAACCTCCAGAACTTCTGGCTTCTGATCCGAATTCAGCTCAACTTTATGGAATATCAAACAGAAAACCAAATATTGCATATTCTCACTTACAAACGTGGGAGGTAAACCCTGGATGCAGATGGACATCAAGATGGGAACAATAGACACTGGGAACTCAAAAAGGAGGGAGGGGGGGAGGGGGACAAGGGCTGAGAAACTTCCTATTAGGTTACTGTGTTCACTATACAGGTGACGGGATCAATAGAAACCCAAACCACAGCAACACGAAATACACCCTTGTGACAAACCTGCGCACATGCCCCTGGGTCTAAAATTAAGATTTTTAAAACTTATGGACTACCTACTATGTACATACACATTGCTGTGCTTGGCTCCGAAGGGAAAGTGCTTTGACAGCAATGGCACATAACATGGTTCCTGCCTTCCGATGCTTACCATCTGGTAAGAAAGAATATCTACATAGACAGGTATGGGGATTCCGGGGCCAGGCAAGCTAGATGTCACATCCCTGTTCTGGCTGTGTGACCTTGGGCAAGTCATTTAACCTCTCTAAGTCTAAGTTTTCACCTTTGTACAATGACAATAATAATAGTACCTACTTTATAGGCTAAATTATACACACACACAACTCACACACACACCAAACTCTGATCAGTTCATGACGCATATTGAGCACCATATACTTGTTAAAGATGATTATTATTGTTATTATTGACTTTTTATGAGGTTCAAATTATACAAAATATGTAAAGAATGTAGTGTGGTGTTTAGAATAATGAGTGGTGGTTATTATCATGCTAACATAGTTATAGATGAAGTTCTATAGAAACGGGAAAAATGACTCTTGCCTGCAGGGATCATGCAAGGCGTGGAGGAGGCGGCATTCAGGCCAAGCCCTGAAGGATGAATAGAATGTCAACAAGCAGGAAGGAGCATGTGAAGCAGAAAGCACAAAGCCAAGTATGGAGGCAGGAAATGAAAGGCCTATTGGGCATCAGGCAATAGAGTGGTTTGGCTGGAGCCCAGGCATTAAGCCTGGCTGAGAGGCTGGACTGGACTTTGGGCTCCCAGCATCTTGAGGACAAGGGCCAAGATTAGGGTGTGACACTGTGAACACTGGAATAACCAGCCTAGCACCAGGATGAGGGGGAGTGATACACTTTATAGAGAGCCAGGCTCAGAGCCTGAGACCAGCGTTTGGGTCCTGGCTGAGCTTCAGATTGAACTGGGTGCTCTGAGGCTAATTGCTTCACCTCTCTGAGTTTGTTTTGTCACCTATGAAATCAGCAGGTAAAATACCAAGTGCAATTCTTCAGGAGAAAGGAGAATTTGTGCGTCATCTTCATGACCCTGGGAAATATCCAAAGGAATCAATCATTTAACAAAGAGACTTACGTAAATTATCAAGTGCAATGCCTGACTCATTATAGTAGTTGAATGAATGATCTCTCCCATCATGATTAATTGCCTTATTCATCCATTCATTCATTCATTCCCTCATTCATTCAGTAAATATTCCTTGGGTCCCCATTGAATGCCAGGCATTAGTTTTGGTGATGGGAAAGAGTGATGAATGCACCTGCCTTGAGACACTTATAAGCAACTGAGGAAACTGGCAACCCGAGGACTTCTGGGTGCTCCCACCCTACCCCCAGCAGCTTCCATCCCACTGGCCATCTTCCAATTTCTCTCAAGGATTACTGCTTACAGATATTTATTTTTAGCAGATTTTAGGCTCCCAAGACATCTCCCATATAGGTCTTGAGAACATCTCCTGTCTGCCCTCTGCTGGTGAGGGATTGTAAGCGCTTTGCAATAAACAGCTCAATATTCATTACACATCAATACCAAGCATTGCTGCTGTCCATCACCCCTGAGATGAACTGAAGTGCCTTAATATTTAAAGAGGAATGAATTTGTAATTAGTACCTAAAGTTACATCAGAGTCATTCAAGAGGTTTTCTATTTAAATGCAAATTTAATCTTTCCAAAGAAAGCTAAAAGGTGATGAAAATAGATAGCAAAGGTTGAGGAAAGAGGCAAGAAAAGGGAGATGGCGCTGATGTGGAGCTGTCACTATTGTTGGCTTGTCTGTGGCCCATGCTCAGGACCAGGCTCTGAGGTGGAGCGAGCTGAGGTGGGGCCTGGATCCCTAAAGCCTAAGTCCCAATTGCCCTGCCTGTTCATGGGGGTAGCCCAAACCAGCAGCCATTTGAGTGGGTCCTCGCTGGGCTGCTGGTGGTCATCTTAGAATCATGGTGGCCTGAAGAGGATATGGGCTGTGGGGTTAGGCAGATCTGAGTTTGAATCCAGCATCCTGTTCTGCCTAACTCTAATAGCTTTGGTGAGTTTCCTAATCTCTCCCATTCCTTCCTTATGTAAATAGACCTCTTAGTGCTTGTTTCTCTCAAGGTTGTTGTAGAGATTATGTGATAAACAGAGTAAATGTCCCTGGTATACAACAAGGGCCCTCAAAATGTTTGTTTCCTTTTATTGCCACTAGATATTGCCGTGTCAACTTAACATTGCCACGGTGGTGTGAAGCACGTTGTCAAGAATAAGGTGGCAAGCTGGGAGTGGTGCGTGTCTATAGTCCCAGCTACTCAGGAGACTGAGGCGGGAGGATTGATTGGGCCCGGGAGGCTGCAGTGAGCCACGATGGTGCCACTGCACTCCAGCCTGGGTGACAGAGTGAGACCTTGTATCACACAAACAAGAAAACAAAAAATAAAAAGAATAAGGTGGCATTCCCCTTGTTCCCTTAAAACAGCCTAAGGTGCAGGGGAGGGCACAAGCATTTTCTGTAAAGGGCCAGATAGTAAACATTTTATGCTTTGCGGGCCATGCGCTCTCTGTTGCAACTACTCCATTCTGCTGTTGTAGTGGGAAAGCCGCCATAGACAACACGTAAATGAGTGAGTGTGGCTGTGTTCCAATATAACTTTATTTATAGATGCTGAAATGTGAATTTCATATCACTTTCATGTATCCCAAAATATTTTTCTTTTGATTTTTTTTCCCCAATCATTTAAAAATGTAAAAATTGTTCTTAGATTTCAGGCCATACAGAAACAGGCAGCAGGCCAGGGTTGGCCCTCAGGCATAGCTTGCTGACCCCTGCACTGAGGTACAACCTGTGATTTAGGGAGGATTTTTATCAAGGAATCTCTCAGAACATAATTCCCAAGACTGGGACCAAAGCAGGGAGATGGCATCCAAGGAAGAAAATAGTCCTTTCTGGGCCAGGACTAGAGAGGAACAAAGGACACACTGGATCCCTAGTGGTGGTTCCTCGTGGGGGGCAGCTGTTAGGTCTGGGTGTGAATAAAATTGTCCCTCTGTTTCTTGCCTAGTGATGTGCAGGGATGGACTGGCAGCTCCTGGGTGCTAAGCAGGCAGCCACATTCTCCTGGCGACAGGCTACAGGAGGATGCTCAAGGGCCAAGGCCCTGCCACTCCCTCCTTCACTGGGAGAGAAATGCAGGCTTCCTGGGGCTCCTTAGAGATCCTCAGGTACACACCCACCTGCCCCAGGAGTGCCGAGTGATGAGGACAGGCAGATCCTTTGATTCACCCAAAGCTTGGCCTGGTTCTCACCTTTCCAGACTCTCATGGCTTCTTAGACACACATATACACAACACACTCGCAGCCAGCTCATCACGCGTCCCCGCCCTCTCCCGTCTCCAGCACAGAGAGCACAGGTCAGCACGCCAGATGGCAACCTTGCTGCTGCAGCAGATTGCCGTCTCCCTAGGGAGCGGGGGTGAAAGCAAAGCACTGGATGATGCCTGGGCTCCAGTCCCCACCCCCTCCTCTCCAGTGTGCCTCTGTCTGGTCCTTTCTCTGGGAACAAGGGGTGTGTGTATGTGTGTGTGTGTGTGTAATGTAAAGTGCCAGAGGAGAAGGGGAGAGGTGAGGAGAGAGCAAAAGCCACTCCCTACCTCTGTACAGGTCCTGCCCCAGTGACCTGGCACCTCCTTCCATCTGGAGAGTGAGCGGGACCTCCCTCTCTGGCACCCAGGGAGGCTGGTGGGCTCTTAGAAGTGAGTAGAGGCATGGGATGGACAACAAGGCTGCCTCAAGGCCTGCTGGGAGAAGCAAAGAGGCCTGGGACCTTTCAGGGTGACTGCTGTCACTTCCCGGCTCTCTGGAGGGCCCGGGCTGAGTGTCATGCCAGCCTAAACAGCCTAAACTGTGAACCTCATCATCCTCTTCCCAGCCCCATAAAGGGCCCACAGCCTTGGATCCCCCTGGATGTCAGAGTCAGACAAAATTTGGAGTTAGGAGGGAGGCAAGGAAGGAGAGGCAGGCCATGAGAAAACCTCCTTTTTTTTTTTTTGAGACGGAGTTTCGCCCTTGTTGCCCAGGCTGGAGTGCAATGGCACCATCTCAGCTCACCGCAACCTCCACCTCCCAGGTTCAAGTGATTCTCCTGCCTCAGCCTCCCAAGTAGCTGGGATTACAGGCATGCGCCACCATCCCTGGCTAATTTTTGTATTTTTAGTAGAGACGGGGTTTCTCCATGTTGATCAGGCTGGTCTCAAACTCCCGACCTCAGGTGATCCGCCCGCCTCAGCCTCCCAAAGTGATAGGATTACAGGCATGAGCCACTACGCCCAGCCAAGAAAGCCTCCTCTTTTTTTTTTTTTTTTTTTTGACTATTACAGAAGTTTATTTAACAAAAAGTCTAATATGAAAATGTACATGACCTAATTTTTACATCATAGTAAAACAGGACCTATGGAGAGAGAGCATGGGTTTCTCTGCTGACCAGCCATTATTTATACTCATTCCAAGGCTTCTAACATGATGATACTATTTCCTCATATTACCACCATTCCAATATTGTTCTGTTGTCCACTAGTCGCCATTTCCACACATTCATCTATCACAAGGTTCATAAAGGGATCAAATCCCCGCAATATTCCTTGGACATGTCTGCCACCATTTAATTTCAATGATAACTTCTTGTCCATAAATTTTTTCAGCTCGGGAGGGTGAGCTTTGCTCATGGTGTATACTCCGCGGGCTCACAGATCGAAAGCCTGCTCTTAAAGTGAGCAGTGATGATCAAATAAAAGCCCAATATATGCTATGTACCAGGTGAGGAATCTCTATGTGGAAACAAGAGGAATCTTCGGGGAGTGGACCCTTCTCTCCTGGGTGGGGATGAGACAACAAATGAGCTTTTGTCTTCCAAATAAGGCAGTTTTCCTAGGAAGAGGGACTCCGGTGAGGGTGAGCAGGCCAGCCTTTTGTTTAGCCTTCTGTTTCTAGCAGGCCCTCTACCTCTAGGCCTGCAGAGCCCCATGGGGCTGGACTGTGGGTCTGTGGCCCTGCTCATTTAGAGCCTGCCAGAAGGAGAGCCAGCTCCCAGTGCCTCAGCACACACACACACATGCACACACACATGCGTGCGCGCACACACATGCATGCACACACACACATGCACACACAGGCACGCACGCCATCATGATAGGCAGGCTGGCCCATCTGCCAATCAATCTTCCTTGCTGATTTCCCAGCTGGAAGCAGCAGGGCTGGTGTGTAAATCATTCAGAGCCGTCTCTCAGCTCTGCCAGGACGTGGAGCTCTTTTTAATTAAGAAGAATGGAGGATGCTGCTGACTTTGGAAGGGGCAATATTAACTTACTAATGGGCATTTAAAGAGCCGTGTCTGAGTGGTCTGCTGCAGCCTTCCCCAGCCTATAGCCTTTTCTCCTCTGCAGAGCTGCCCTCATAAAGGCTCTGCTGTCCTCTACTTGAGAAGGGGTGAAGATTAGGCCCCCTAAGGGCCCCAGCCTGGTGACCTGGGACAAATGGGCACGTTTTCACTTTTAGAGAAAGAGCCATGTCGGGATGACCTGAGCTCTTGCATCCTCTGCCACCCTTGCATACTCTCCTGGCAGCAGGCACCCCAGAAAGGTCAGAACCCAACAGGAAGCAGGTGGGTGCCCAAGGTCTATAGGGAGCCAGCCCATTCGCCACAGCTGCAGCTGTCACAAGGCACCCCCTTGTCCTGGGCTGATTGGAGAGAAAGGAGGGTGGTGGTAGCAAGAGAGGGTAGCCAGGGGAAGCCCTGATAAAGTCTTCACTGGTGACTGGACCTGGGGTAGCTGGCAGCGCTTGTGAGAGCTGGTGGGGCCAGACCTCTGCGATCGTATCACCTGGCAGAATGTGAGGGTGTTCGTTCTAGAATCTGCTGCTTTGTCACTATGGCTAAATGCTTCTTTCTCTAGGGCTCCCCGCCTGTATAGCACCCCAAGAGTACAGAATACTCCAGCTGGGAGGGACCCCAGCTGCTCTCTTCTTCACCTTCCTTCCTTCTAATTTGACAGGCACCAGAATGGATATGACTTGCCCATAGTTGCACAGCCCGGTTACAACAAAACGTAGGCTGGAGGTCATAGCCTTCATCGTAACAAGACGTAGCAGAGGTCTTCTGACTGTCCTGTGTTTTTCTAGTATGGCCCGGGCGGCAATACAGGAGGCAGCTCCGTGGCCTCTCACCTCACCTCATGCTGGTGTTTCAGGTTTCTGACATTGCTGGTCAGGAAATTCTTCCTTGTTTATAACTCAAATCCTCAGGCTTTATTGTAAGCCCCATTTCCTCTTACGATTTCCTCAGTAAGCACAGGGAAGTAGCTGAGGTCTTTGAGAAGCATACCTTCCCGCACGCACTAAACAGCAGAGGAGCGTGTGGCTTCCCAACCCTTCCTTCTCTACATTGTGCAACTCCTGAGTCTGAAAACGAAGATGACTCCCTCCCTTTACCCATCATCCCATATCTGGGGTCCACTTTCCAATGTCCCAGTTTTACCTAAGTAGGCAGGAAGTTGCTTACAGATGAACAGATGCATTCGTTAATGGATACCCACTAAGGCCCTCTAGGTTCCAGGCACCAGCTATGCACTGGAGTGGGAGGGAGCAGGGAGGATAGCTGAAGGAATGTGGCTGATTCAACTGTCCAATCAAGGCTGCGTGGTCAGGAAGGGAACCTGAATAACTGAGGCCATTCTGCGGGACTCCAGCCCTCCACCTGCAAGGCAGCAGTGCCACATGATCACATACAGATCCTGGTTCTGACTGCTGGCAACTGTGTCATACCATCTCCCATCAAGTCCACGTGAGCTCTAAATCCTTCCTCTGGGCTGATGTTGGGACTGGTGGGGAGGAGGCCCTAATGAGGCTTCTCTATGCTGGGGGAGGAACTACCCTTTCCTTGGTCTGCTGGCAGCCTCAGTCCTAATTGGATGAGTCAGCCTCACTCCCCACTCCCTGAATAAGGACCATGCTTCTGGTTAGGAATGAGAAGGTGATTAGCTAAAGGAAGGGCACAGCTGTTCTCCAGATTAGAATGCAATTTAGGTTGCAGCAGATGAGATTTCAGCTAGCTAGGAGAAAAGATATCCTGTCTAAGACACAGGCCCAGAAGTGATTGGCTACAGGAGGGTATGGGCCCTGGTAAGGCTGCCTATCTTGTGAAACTGGCACCTGCTCTTGGGGGGCACACTAGCCTGAAAGTCAGAGGTACAGAAACTTGCCATCACAAGGGGAAGAAAGAAACTAGTCTTTATGAGGTACTTACCACGTGCCCAGGAACTATGCCTGGCATCTCCTTCCTCCTACAACTCTAGAAAGTAGATTTGCTTATTCCCTTTTTCACAGATGAGGACACTCAGATTCAAGGACATAAGTGACTGGTGCATAATCACACAGCTAGGAGGTGGCTGCACCAGGATTCAGATGCAGCCTGTCTGATGCTGACCACATGGTCTGTGGGGTGCTGCAGAAAGAAAACTGCATAAAGAAGGTGATCCTGGCCTCGGGGAGTTCCTGGTGTGTGCCTCCAGCCAGCGTGGTACCCTGCAGAGGGCACTCCGGTAAAGAGTATTTCTGGGGAGGGATAAGGAGCAGCTAATCACTAAACAACTCCTCTTCCCTCCTATCCCCCTGAAATGTTCCCTACACTTGGAATTCCAGCAGACGTTGAAACCCTTCCCACAGTTACTCCATCCATGGCCTGCCACACTGAGAATCTGCTTGGTTTATTGGGAAGAAACTGTTCCCCACAACACCCCCAACTTCCCCCTAAGGTACCGCAGTTTAGTGAAGGCAGGATCCTGCTGAATGCCTACCAGACAATAGAGACTGAGTAAAACTGTGCATTTCATTGTATGTAAATTAGACCTTAACAAATCCAAGACTTACTGAGCCTGTCAAGGTGGTGCATGCCTGTAATCCCTGCTACTCAGGAGGCTGAGGCAAGAAGATGACTTGACCTCAGGAGTTCAAATCCAGCTTGGGCAATATAGCAAGACCCCATCTTTTTAAAAAGAAACAAAACCCAAAACGTACTGAGTGACTTTTTTCTGGGGCTGAGCATCCTCAAGTTTGATTGATGCACCAATATCTATAATAAAGACTCCACAGCACCAAAGATGTAATCTTTAGAGGCTTTTATGACTTTTCCCTCCCTTAATTCCCCAACCTCCCACTCCTACCTTGTAATGAAGGGGAAAAATGAAACACTTTTTTTTTAGAGAGACAGGGTCTTGCTGTGTCACCTGGGCTGGAGTGCAGTGGCACGATCTTGTTTCACTGAAGCCTCTACCCCCTGGGCTCAAGTGATCCTCCCACCTCAGCCTCCCTAGTAGCTAGGATTATGTGCCACGAAGCTCAGATAATTTTTGTTTATTTTTTGCAGAGACAGGGTCTCACTATGTTTTTGAGGCTAGTCTCGAACTCCTGGACTCATGTAATCACCTGCCTCGGCCTCCCAAAGTGCTGGGATGACAGGCACAAGCCACCACATCCAGCGTAAAAACTCAAATGCTTTTTAAGGCAAAAGAGAAACACCGGCTTAATGTTACGCAAGATTTTAGAGCAAGAAGGATTTAGATTTGACATGAGGAAGAACTTTCTGACCAGGAAAATGGTTACACACTAGAATAGGGTAGGGAGGGACCAAGGAGTCACTGGACACTCTCCCTCCGATTAGCACTCCTTAAGGCCCCATCTTGGTGCACTCAACCCAGGCAATGGAAACTACAGATGACTCAGGGAATCTTAAGTGGCAGTTGCTAGGTTACAAGCTTCCTCGATGTGCACTCAGTGTAAGCGCTAAAGGATGTTACCTGGCGGAGAGGAAGAGAGATGGGGGAGATGGAGAGAAGCCAGGACTTCCAGAACAAGCAATTAGGTCATGGTCTGGAAGACATCCTGTTGTTAGTACTTTTCCAAGGGTCTGAGTCCCTAGATCTCACGGTCTGCATAGAAGATGGTGCCTGTAGGATATGAGCCTTAGTTTAGAATGGGGGCCTATTCTGGGGCTGGATTCCAGCACTTCCTTACCTGCACTGCCTGGCACAAACAGTATGGGCAGCCGCTGGAATCTCCTTGGTGGCCTGGGCTCCTTTCTTCACTGCAGTGGAATAAAGACCAGAAGCCAGGTGGAGAGTGGACCCACTTGGTTTCCTTCATAAGGCACAATTCTTTAATTTGTGATTTAATTGTGATAAAGTAAAGGAGCACTGGATTTGGAATTCATACCTTGGACCCACTCTGAACGGCCTGCATGGTCCTAAGTAAGTCACTTCATCTCATTAAGGCTCAGATTCCTCAACTGCAAAAAGTGGATATTGATACCTACCCCTGAACCCCTCCCAGGGCTGTTTTAAGATTACAAGAAAATGGACGTGCAAGGGCTTAGATGATCTCAACAAGTGACACAAATAAAACATACAGAGTGGAGCTCTGTCTATCTGCTTATTAAGCTGCCCCAGCTGGGGTGGTGAAGGCTCATTTAAGAGGCCTGGCCTCACTGCTTTGGTAGAAGGCTCAGTGGGTAAGAGAAGCTAAGGATGGACTCCAACAAGCGCTTTTAAGGAAGGTCTATGGCTTTAAATCTTCCCGATCACCTGTTCTGATTTTGTGAAGACAGTTCAAGCTGAGGTAAAGGTGCGTTCCCTATTTCTCCAGGCAGATAGAGACTCCTAGGAAGAAAGGGAAATGTTTGGTGTTTCCGTGAAATTTCATGAATTCACACCCCATGCTTTTGGAATTTATGAGTTCTGATTGAATAGGGAAAACAGACACAGACTTCCTCTGTGAAGGTTCTAGAGGTGCTTACTTTGTAAGTACAGAGAATTCGAACTAAAAAACAGTGGAATTTTTAAGCCAAGAACTCAAAGTAGTAAGATGGGCCCGTTGGATGGAGTGCAATGGTGCAATCTCAGCTTGCTGAAACCTCCGCTTCCCGCGTTCAAGTGATTCTCCTGCCTCTGCCTTCTGAGTAGTTGGGATTACAGGCATGCATCACGGCACCCAGCTAATTTTGCATTTTTAGTAGTGATGAGATTTCACCATGTTGGCCAGGCTGGTCTCGAATTCCTGACCTCAGGTGATCCACGTACCTCGGCCATCCAAAGTGCTGGGATTACAGGCATGAGCCACCAAATCCGGCCTCGATTTTATACTTTTGGGGGTGGAAGGTTTGTTCTGTTTTGTTTTGTTTTTGAGACAGAGTCTTGCTCTGTCACCCAGGCTGGAGTGCAGTGGCGCAATCTCAGCTCACTGCAATCTCCGCCTCCCAGGCTCAGGTGAACCTCCTGCCTCAGCCTCCCGAGTATTTGGGACTACAGGTGCATGCCACCATGCCTGGCTAATTTTTTTTGCATTCTTAGTAGAGATGGGGCTTCACCATGTTGGCCAGGCTGGTCTGGAACTCCTGACCTCAAGTGATCTGCCTGCTTGGGACTCCCAAAGTGCCTGGATTACAAGTATGAGCCACCGCACCCGGCCAGAATTATATTGTATCTTTACCGATCAATTTCAAAACCCTGGTTGTGATATATACTGTGCTATAGTTTTGTAAGATGTTGCCATTGGGAGAAACTGGGTAAAGGGTATTTTTTCTTACAGCTGCATGTGAATCTAAAATTTTCTCAAAATTAAAACTCTAGTTTAAAAATATATAGACATAGATCTATCTATCTGTATAAGAAACTGAGGTTCAGAGTAGTTAAGTAATTTTCAGAGGCAAGATTCAAACCCAGGTCTTCCAGCCTCCCAAGCCTGCGTGTTTCAAGACTTGGCTACATTTGAAAGAACCAGGTAGGAGGAAGATCCCATCGGCCTTGCAGTCCACCAGACCAGGTGGTTGGTTCTCTGGCCTCATGGGCACCTTTGTTACTGGGGACTACTGTCCTATAAACGGTATTAGAGAGTGGCTTGCAAGGATTGTTTGTCAAGCCCTGCGAGTTGGTGCCGAGGACGGAGATTTGATCATCAGGTTTCCCCTTCCTGAAGCTCGTGAAGGGTGATGGTGGCGGTGGTGGGTTGTGCATGTGTGTGGCAGATGGAAAAACTTCCCGTGTGTGTTTGTCTATGTTGGTGTCTCTGGCTGTGTCCACATGTCTGTCTGTGCATCACTGGTCAGTGTCTCTGTGGATGTGTCTATTTCGAGGGCGGCGGCAGGGTGATGTGTAAGTTATGCTTCCATGTGCAAGTGGGTGTATATGTTATATTTGAAAGTACCTGTGCCAGGTCTGCGTGCATCACACCCACATAAGTTGTTTTCATGAGGTTAAACTATATGATAATACCTCCCCCCAGCAAAGCTGGCTATTGAGTTAGCAGGTCACGAGCTGAGTCTGTGTACTGTAGATAAACTGGGTAATTGGACTCTCCGCCTCTTCATCCAAAACAAACACAAAAGCCCGCCCCCACACCGGAGGGCGTCTGTGCCCGTCATCTGGGTGCTTGGTTCTAGTGCCCTGCTTTCCTTGACCCCCTGTAGACAAGGTGAGCGCTTCCGCGGCGGGGCTTCTGTACAGAGGTCACAGCACGCTGTGTCCCGGGACGCACGCGGATTCCTGCACAGGTGTGGTGGCTGCGGATGGGGACGGAGCGGAGCAGGCTCGCCGGCCTCCTCCCCGGCGGCGGCTCCGCTTCTCCTTCCTGCTGTTCACTTCATCTCCTCATCTGCATGTGTGACAGCGGCGCGCGGACTGGGGAAGGACAGAGCGCCCTCTCCCCGGCTCCCGTGCAGCGGGGCGGGGGCTCCGGGCTCCCCAGTGATGCGTCGTCTGCGCCTCGCCGCCGCGCTCCCCGGGCCTGGCAGCGTAAGTGATGCGGGGGCGGGGGCGCCGAGACTGCGGGGAGGGGGCGCGGGGAAAGAGAGGCGTCGACGCCGAGAGACGCTAACTCCTTCCTCCGCCCGGGGACTGCCCGGCACCCCGAACCCCTGAAAGCCCCGGCCTGCGGCTTGCTTCGGCAGTGTCCGAGCAGCGGGTGGGGAGGGGGCGGGGACCAAGCAGTGCAGGGTGTGGTGCTGCCCCCGGGGGGCGCCCTCCGCCGCCGCGTCTTCCCAGTGAAGTTGACCAGGGGCTGCGGAGCCCATCCGCTGCCCGCCGGAGGGCGCGTGGCCCCAGCTGCCCTTGATTCACCGCGTTCCCCCCGCAGGGCCAGGCGTGGACGCCGCCGGACCGCTGAGACTCGGGGCACGGTGAAGCACTGGCCGGGGTCTGGCTGGGTCCGGCGCTCGGGAGCCAGATGGAGGTGGCGATAGGGGCCGTGGGAGCCGGCGCCAAGTAGCCGGTGGACCCCCGCGCTCGCACCTCTCCCGGCGCCCGGGCGCTCCCCAAGGCTGCCATGGAGGTGCCTAACGTCAAGGACTTCCAGTGGAAGCGCCTGGCGCCACTGCCCAGCCGCCGGGTCTACTGCTCCCTGCTGGAGACCGGGGGCCAGGTCTATGCCATCGGGGGATGTGACGACAACGGCGTCCCCATGGACTGCTTCGAGGTCTACTCCCCGGAGGCCGACCAGTGGACCGCCTTGCCCCGGCTGCCCACAGCCCGGGCGGGGGTGGCCGTCACCGCCCTGGGGAAGCGGATCATGGTGATTGGGGGCGTGGGCACCAATCAGCTGCCCCTGAAGGTCGTGGAGATGTACAACATCGATGAGGGCAAGTGGAAGAAGAGGAGCATGCTGCGTGAGGCCGCCATGGGCATTTCTGTCACGGCCAAAGGCAAGTGGGGCCAGGGCTGAGGGCGGCCAGAGAGAAGGAAGTGGGGGGCCAGGAGGGAAACAGATGGAAACCAACAGGCATTTGCTGTGGGCTGTGGAGTTTAGTGCCATATTTCTGCAGACCCCATGCGTTCAGCAAAATGCCTGCACCTCCCGCCGCCACACCCCAGCCCCTGAAACCTGCCTTGCCTTGCAGGTGCCACCACCCCCAGACACCTATTTGGGGTCCTGACAATGCTCACTCCATCCTTGTAGCGTCACCAGGCCCCACTGAGAGGGCTTTGGGACCTGATTCCAGGGGCCTCTTCCACCTTCAACCTGCCCCTCTGCCTCCCAATCTCAGAGACGCTCAGTGGAGACCAGAATGTTCCTGAGGGTTCATGTCTGGCCGCGTTTCACTAAGTCCTCAGGGCATGCATGTCCTCACTACATGGTTTTGTGATTCTCATTTTCCTTTCTCAAAGCCCCCATTTCATTCTTTTCACGCCTAGTACAGCCCAGAACCTAGAGCTCCGAAAGCTCTTTTGCTAAAACACAAAGGGTTTTGTGGGAGATGGTTCAATGGGAATTAGGAGACACCAAGTTCAGACACACCTGAGCAGCACAGGCTTGCAGTGGGATGCAACCTTCCCTCCGTCTCCTCTTCCTCCCTCCCTCTTTTGCTAAACCATACTAGCTGCATGTCAAGTCTACTATAGATTGGGAACCAGTATTTCTTGAGCACCTGCTCTGTCCCCAGCACAGTGCCAGGCTCCAGGAGGGAAGGAAAGAGGCGGAAGATCTGTTCCCTGCCTTCAGGAGCCTGGATCTGACCAATGAAAGTAACTAGAGAGAAACTCTAGTGCAGAATCCCCCAGGGCAGCATGGCCAGTGGGGCTTCTGTGACCTCCCAGTAAGAAGGATGGAAGGCCTGGAGGCCCACGGAGAGCAAGGGAGGGAAAGAGCACATCTTCATCCCAGGCCTCAGTAAATGGTCTTGAAAGATTAAGAACTAACATTCATTGAATCCTTACCATTTGTGCTTTGTATACAGGTAAGTGCTAGTATTACTCTGATTTTAGAGAGAAGCAGTGTAAGGCCCAAAGAGTTAGTTAAAACACTGGCCCAAGGTGACACAGATAGTGATGATTGAGTCTGTGCTCTTACTATGGCACTGAATGGGTTCTGCAGTTAGTTTAATAAGCATTTACATGCCTGTGTGCCAGGCATTGTGCCAGATGCTGGGGCTGTAGATTTAACAAATTCTCAACGGCCTACAGTCTATTGAAAGAAACAAAGATTGGCCGGGCGCGGTGGCTCACGCCTGTAATCCCAGCATTTTGGGAGGCTGAGGCGGGCGGATCATGAGGTCAGGAGATCAAGACCATCCCAGCTAACATGGTGAAACCCGTCTCTACTAAAAATATAAAAAATTAGCCTGGCACAGTGGCGGGCGCCTGTAGTCCCAGCTACTCGGGAGGCTGAGGCAGGAGAATGGCGTGAACCTGGGAGGCAGAGCTTGCAGTGAGCCGAGATCGCGCCACTGCACTCCAGCCTGGGTGACAGAGCAAGACTCCGTATCAAAAAAAAAAAGAAAAAGAAACAAAGATTATTCAGTAACAGGTGGCAATTAGGGTGATGGAATAGGGTAACAGAAGGCACTGAGCCGGTGCTGTCGACCCAGGCTTGTAGTTCAGGGACGCCCAGATGGGTCTGAAAGGATGAGTAAGAATTGGGCACAAAAACAGTAGTGAGGAGTGGATGGGAGGATTCCCAGGAGGAGGAGTTTCAAGTAACACAGGATGGGAGGGGTGGATCTTGTGCAAGGTGAATTCCTCATTAGCAGGCACCGTCTTCCAGCCTCAGGCTAGGGTTGGCATTTTTTTTTTTTCCAATAAGATTGGAAAGTAGGAGGAAATAGTACTCATCCCTACAATCACCTTAAGAATAAAGGCCTCCTGGAGCCAGAAGCATTGAGGACTGGCTGCTGGCAGACAGAATCCCGGGCAGGGGTGGCTCCCTGAGAAAGAGAGGCCTGGGAGGTCCTGGGGTGGGACCCAGGGAAACACAGATGCCTTGCCCATCCTCTCTGGTGTAGTGAAGTCCTTTGAAAGGCCACCTACAGTCAAGAGTAGTAGAGAATGAGAGGAGACTCACTTCTCAAAGTATCCCAGCTCACTTCCTGGGCAGGGTTTCTTAAAGGGACCAGTACTCTCTCCAAAGCTTCACCCTCATTCACCCCTAGCCCTATCTCATTTAGTTGAAGTGACTCCTGGATCCCACAAGTTTCCCAATTTGTGAAGGAAGATGGCATTCCCCAATGGGGCTGGCAGACACAGAACCAGCAGCAGTCCAGTGTCCCATAGGCCAGTGACAGCATGACTCATCTTATTTCTAAAGGCCCCTGCCATATCTAAAAATGCCAGTTTGTGAATGCCTGGGGAAAGGGCATCAGAAGAATATCTCTACTCATTGAAGCCAGGCGTGGTGGCTCATGCCTGTATTCTCAACACTTTGGGAGGCCAAGGCAGGTGGATCACCTGAGGTCAGGAGTTTGAGACCAGCCTGGCCAACACGGTGAAACCCCGTCTCTACTAAAAATACCAGGTGTGGTGGCAGGCATCTGTAATCCCAGCTACTCTGGAGGCTGAGGCAGGAGAATCGCTTGAACCCGAGAGGCAGAGGTTGCAGTGAGCTGAGATCACACCATTGCACTCCAGCCTGGGCAACAAAACAAGACTCTGTCTCAAAAAAAAAAGAATACCTCTCCTCTTTGGCTTCCCCTCTGGCTGCCCAGGGAGGACAGTGAAGGGGATAAGACCTGCAAAGGGTTTTCCAGGCCTAAACTTCACGCAGTGTTTCAGGCTTAGCCAAAGGGCTGGACACTAAGGAAGACTAGGGCGTGTAGTCGTACCATGGCTTCAAAAGACCCAGGCAGCTGGGCACAGTCGCTCACACCTGCAATCCCAGCACTTTGGAAGGTCGAGGCAAGAGGATTGCTTGAGCCCCGGAGTTCGAGACCAGCCTGGGCAACATGACAAAACCCTGTCTCTACAAAAAATACAAAAATTAGTCAGGTGTGGTGGCATGGACCTGTAGTCCCAGCTACTTGGGAGGCTGAGATGGGAAGATCTCTTGAGCCCAGGAGGTCAAGGTTGCAGTGAACCATGATTATGCCACACTCCAGCCTGGATGACAGAATGAGACCATATCTAAAAAAATAATAATAATAAAAATAAAAAAAAAGAAACAGACTCTCAGGCTTAGCTATAGCAGGAACTTCTTTGAATGGTGCTATCAACCACACTGATACAGATATGACTCACTCTGGCTGAGCAGTGGTTGAAAGCTTGGCCTGGCCATGGGAGGCAATAGATGCTGGTGGGCCTGTCTTGCTGTACCTGTGAGCTAAGCCAGGGGCATGTATGGCCTTTCTTCTTAGATTACCGAGTATATGCGGCAGGCGGGATGGGCCTGGACCTACGTCCACACAACCACCTCCAACACTATGACATGCTGAAGGACATGTGGGTGTCCCTAGCACCCATGCCCACCCCGAGATATGCTGCCACCTCCTTCCTCCGAGGCTCCAAGATCTACGTGCTGGGTAAGGACAGGTTACTGTTCTATACCTACCCTCCTTCCTTCCCTTGGCTCAGTTCCCATAGGAAGCAGTGCCTGTGTGCTGAGCATCTCCTCGGCACTGGGGATAATCACACTGCCCAGCCCACCGGGAGCTTCCTGTATGAATGAGTAACTGTCAAAAGGGGAAACCCTTTTCACTGTCGCTGTCCTCAGGGACAACCCTTCTGCCCAACCTCTATCCTGCTCTGGCCCCCAGGGGGACGACAGTCCAAGTACGCGGTCAACGCTTTCGAGGTCTTTGACATCGAGACTCGCTCCTGGACCAAGTTTCCCAACATTCCCTATAAGCGGGCCTTCTCCAGCTTTGTGACCCTGGACAACCACTTGTACAGCCTAGGAGGCCTGCGGCAAGGTCGCCTCTACCGGCAGCCCAAGTTCCTGCGGACGATGGACGTGTTCGACATGGAACAGGGTGAGCTGGTCACCTTCCCCAGGAAGCTCTGGCTGCCCACTGCCCTTCTGGCTGGCTCCCCATCCCTTACCCCTATTCCAGCCATCTTCCAGGGCCGTTTACCCAGCTGGGCAAGCTTCTCAGAAGTCTCAGCACCCCTCTCCACTCAGGGCTACTCTTGGAATCAAATTCCTTCATTGGTATAGGTCCCCTTTTTGCTTGGTTGGTTTTTATCAAAGCCCCTTTTCTACCTATATTGTCTTTTCTTACAATATTCACACAGGACCAGGTCAGAGAGGGATTTTTCTTACTTTTTACTGATGGAGAAACAGAAGGATCCTGACTCCTCCCTCACTGCCTCTATTAGCCTCCTAACCAGAAGTCAAGGTGATTCATTGTAGGGGATGATGATGCCTTACAGAGCAGCAAGCATGGGAGAGGGGGAAGCCACAGAGAATTTGAAACAGCAGGAGGAACTGTGTACTCCCCAAGCATAAAGGATAAATAGAGTGAAGACACTGCCCAGGGTGAAAGCTATTTGGGCCACAATCTGCATTTGGTGGGAGTGGTCTGTATCTTATTCTGTCTATATAACCCACCATTATCCATGGCCTATAGGGGGATGGCTGAAGATGGAACGATCGTTCTTCCTCAAGAAGCGGCGGGCAGATTTTGTGGCTGGCTCTCTGAGTGGACGGGTCATAGTGGCTGGGGGACTTGGTAAGGATGGCGCTTTCACGCTGGAATTTATTGTGGTTCTGGTGCTCAGTGGATCCTTGGCACTTTGCATATGCAGGAAAGGGTACTGACTCCCTGCAGACCACCTGCCTACCACTATACTCCAAAAAATTCGAAGCACTCCCTTTCTTCCAGCCTAGATATTACCTATCCACTGTGGGCCCCAGGTGTGGCCTTTCTGTCCTCCTACACAGGGAAACTGTGACGCAGAGAGAATAAGGGACACCCGTAGCCGTGCAGCACAGGCTTACTGAGCACAGATCCCTAAACGGGAATGACTGGAGACAAACTGTGGAGGGGATTAGCCTTGGTCCTCCTCTGACCAGTCTCTTATCCTGTTCCAGCCCAATCGTGGAACAGGAAAGCAATCTGATTAAATAAGTTCAACAGATGAATCTTGGGTTTGATGTATTAACTCTGCCAGAGATTACTAGTATTTTGAAGGAGGGACTCTAAAGCGAGAAGTTCCCCATCATCAAGGAAGAGAGATCCAGGCAGCAGGGCTTCCAGGTACCCCAAGTCTACTTAGTGTGGACAAACTCCCACTTTACTCAGGCATGAAGGAACCGTGTCAACTAGACCATGTCAGTAGCTTTTTTAGGAAAGGGCAGCAGTGAGGCAGTAGTGTGCTAGAAAGCTCTGGTAAAAAGCAATGGGTAGGGAAAGAAAGCTTACTCTTAAAGAGACAGGAAGACGGTAGGAGGGACAAAGTGGCTGCTTGACAAAAGCCACTGGCTTAGTAAAGGGAGTAATCCTGTAGCCAAGGAAGTTGACCTTGCTTGGCTTCTGCTTGTGGGTGCCGAAGGGAGGGAGGTGGGGTGACCGTGGGGCATGGATTGGTGGTTGGACTCCTTTGTAAGGTCTGATTCCCTTGACACTTTCAGGGAATCAACCCACTGTCCTGGAGACGGCGGAAGCATTCCACCCAGGGAAGAACAAATGGGAGATCCTCCCTGCCATGCCCACACCCCGCTGTGCCTGCTCCAGCATAGTCGTCAAGAACTGCCTCCTCGCCGTGGGAGGTGTCAACCAGGGTCTGAGTGACGCAGTGGAGGCCCTGTGTGTCTCTGACTCCTAGCTGTCTCTGGGCTCAGTACCTTTGCCCTGGACCATATCACTTCACTCTTAACATGAGGAATGATCTTGTCCAAGCAGTCGGGGCTACTTCCAAGAATGTCAGCTCCTGTTAGCAACCAGTGGAGTCTGGCCTTGGGGCTCTAAGTTGACCTCTCTATAGCTCCAAATCCTACCAATCTCAGAAAACTGTAAGAGGCACAGATGACTCCACCAGCTGCAGAGCTGACTCTGAAGAGAGTCTTCACTTACTGCACAGGCAAAGAAAGGCACAGGAATATTTCCTACCTCTCCCTCCTGTGAGTCCCACCTCCCCCCACCCCCATCTCCAGGAGGCAGGTAGAGCAGTTCTGACCGAGAGGATAGACTGCTGTTGCTGTCTTTCCCCAGCTCTGAACTAGTTTTAAGGTAGCTTAGGATGAAAAATGGAGAATGATTGGGGGTTCCAAACCACTTTCTTCTCCCTTGGCTTATATCTCTTCACCATTTGGTGGTCAACTGTGGGCCTACCCTGGACCTCATCTACTCAGCGAGAATTGGACATGAAGCTAGAGGCAGCTGCCTTGGAAGGGAAGTCAGGCTCACTTGGACAGCCCAGGCCATGGCAGGAAGAATCCCTTCCTCTTGGGGTCCTTGATGGGCATGTGTGATGGGGAAGGAGCAGTCTCCCAGCCCTGGGTCTGCTCCCCACATCTCTCCTAATTCCACTTCACCTTTTGCCACCCCCTCCCCACCAGAGGCCTAGCCCTTTTGTCACCGAAGGCCCCCAGAGTGTTTCTGTGTGAAACCCTCTCATTTACACTGTGGCATCAAAATCCACAAAAGATGGATTAATTGCACTCTGGTTAATAGCAGCAGCACAATGATTAAAATCTATATTCCTATCTTCTCTAGCACCCTGGTGTGGGGATGGGGCGGAAGGGTGTCTTGAGGGGCAGGGAGGACCCCATAAAACAATCCCTCCTGCATTCTCAGGCTAAATAGGGCCCCCAGTGACTACCTGTTCTTGGCTGTCCCCTCTGAAGAGCTCTGCCTTCTCACAGCCACCACCAGTTGCCCCACTCCCAGGAAAACAGCACATGTTCTTCTTCTCCTGCCTTGAGACTGCGTGTTAGTCTTCCATTCATAACTCATCAGCAGCTCAGTCCTTCTTATGTCTAGTCTCAGTTCATTCAGCCAAAGCTCATTTTTGTCCTATCCAAAGTAGAAAGGGTTCTTTTAGAAAACTTGAAGAATGTGCCTCCTCTTAGCATCTGTTTCTGACTCCCAGTTATTTTTAAAATAAATGATGAATAAAATGCCTGCCCTGAAGGGTTCTGGAGGAGTCAGGTATCACTCATCAGGTGATAGTGTAATTCTTTCTCCAGGAGGCAGGAATGGAGGAGGATCACCTATCTGGATCTGAGGGGTCCAGGGAGCCTCCTGGAGGGAGGGAGTGTGACACCTTCAGCGGGATCTTCAAGGACAAGTGGAACCTGGGTCTTTACAGGATACGGATTTTTTTCCCCTCCCTTTCTCTGGGTACTTGGACTTTTTCCTTACTTGGGTCCAAGAAGGGCACTGCCACCTGCTGGCCCAGCATTTCCCTTCCCCCTCCCAGGGCTGGGAGGCCTCCCGTAGCCGCTGCTGCCCCCTAGTGAGGAGACTGCAGAGAGGCCTCCCCTGCTGCTTCTGGATCCCTATATTTGAGTTCAGCCCCTGAAGTAACAGATAGAAACAGGAGCTGGAGGAGCTGCAGATACTATAAGGGATGATGGAACTGTGCATTAGGGGATGCTCTTCCAAAGGCATCCTGTCTCCTCAATCCCCTACCCAAGAAAGGTGTTTAGCAACTGGAGTGCCTCCACCCCTTGCAAGAGAAACCCAAGCCTTATGGGAGGGGGCATTTCCAAGCACACAAAGTGGTCCCATATGCATGGATAGGGCTGAGCTTTTTTTTTTTTGAGACAGGGTCTTGCTCTGTTGCCCAGGCTGGAGTGCAGTGGTGCGATCAGGGTTCACTGCACTCTCCGCCTGGGCTCAAGCAATCCTCCCACCCCAGCCTCCCAAGTAACTGGCCCTAGACTCAAGCAATCCTCCTGCCTCGGACTCCCAAAGTGCTAGATTACAAGCCTCAGCCACCATTCCCAGACAATGAGCCATTTTTGAATGGTCAGACGGAACCTTGGGAGTACAGAGAGCTCTAAAAGGTTGAATTAGCTGCTGGACCCTGTGAGGGCAACTCCGGGCTGGAGCTGGTATCTGCTGAGAACTCACCCCTTGGAAGTCCATTCTGGAAAGACTTTAGGGGTGCCTCACTGAGGAATGAGGGAAATACTGAATGTCTGTTAAGCCATGTGGTCCTGTACCTCATGGTGCTGCAGAGGCAGCACAGGATCTGGGATAAGATGGCCTGGCCCAGGTCTCGCTCCCCAACCCCCATAGGCTTTCCCGTCCCCTTTCCACTGTGGGAAGGCTCCTCACCTTTCCTGTCTTCATTTCCCAACCTACACAACAGCAATCATAATGCTGTCTCACAGGTGGTAAGGTACTTCTTTCAACCCTCAGATCAACTCCATGAGGTAGGTAGTATCCTCCCATCTTGCAGATGAGAAAACTGGGGCTCCAGGGTCACAAACTCGTAAGTGACTGAACCAGGTCTGATCCCAAAACTTGTGACCACAGCACTGCATTGCCTCACGTGAAATAGCACCAGGAAAGGAAAGAAAATCAACTGCGCTATACTATGTAGGAAGTTCAAAATGTCTCAAAATCTAGAAGGATTGAGATTGTTTCCTAAGGAATGAGTGTGAGTATTCGCAAGGAATGGGTGAGAAGGGTTTCCTCATGTGAAATGGGCATAGATTATTCCTAAATGTATACTCCCCCGAAAATTCCCTTCTAACTTTTTCATTCCATTATTTAACATTTAACACCTATTCTGTGCCTGGCATGGTGCTAGATTCCTGCCCTATAGCAGTTACATCTTGGGAGGAAGACAGGGGACCATGGCTGCCGTTACTGTTTGATCAGTGTCAGCCTTTGCTAGTGCAACTCACAGGCACCCCACTCAGGGTGGTTGCAGAGAGCTGAGATGAAGAGTTCAGTGCAGGTTTCCAGGAAATAAATCTCAAACTGCACTTTGAAAGAAGAGGGAAGCCAGGTGCGGGGGCTCATGCCTGTAATCCCAGCACTTTGGGAGGCCGAGGCGGGCGGATCACCTGAGGTCGGGAGTTCGAGACCAGCCTGACCAACATGGAGAAATCCTGTCTCTACTAAAAATGCAAAATTAGCCAGGCATGGTGGTGCATGCCTGTAATCTCAGCTACTCGGGAGGCTGAGGCAGGAGAATCACTTAAACCCGGGAGGTGGAGATTGCAGTGAGCTGAGATTGTGCCATTGCACTCCAGCCTGGGCAACAAGAGAGAAACTCTGTCTCAAAAAAAAAAAAAAAAGAAGAAGAAAGAAAGAGAAAAAAGAAAGAAGAGGGAGACCAGCCCGGCAGAGGAGGATGATCACAGGCTTTGCAGCAAGAAAGATGGGTTCAAATCACGATTGTCATGTACTAATTGATCTTGGGTACATTACTTAACCTCTCTGAGTCCCAGTTTTCTTATTTGTAAAATGTGCAAAATAAGGCCTCACTTATGAGGCTAAGAGCTACCTGCTATATGTAAAGTGATGTATGTGTGTTCAGTGAGTAGCTGCATTATTATTTCATTGTTGTTGAAGGAGAGGTAGAGGTGTTCTCAAGCCCACTGAGGGAAAGGGTTTGGCTTATTTGGGGGAAAACATGTAGTGGAGAATGTAGGGGGAGGATGTGGGAAGATGGGCCTCGAAATGCAGGCAGGCAGACCAAGAAAGGCCTTACTATATGTCTTGTTGAGTCTGGAGTTTATGCATGTGGGAAGTTAGGATAAATTAAGGGTTTTAAGGGTAAGAGCAGTGTGACCAGAATTGTACCTCTGTAGGGATGTAGACATGTACATCCCTAGCATGGGATATTCTGAGTTCTTTTTCTAAGGAATAGAAAGTAAGTGAAATCACTAAGACATCATCTAAGATCAGAAGGAACAGCCGAGCATGGTGGCTCATGCCTGTAATCCCAGCACTTTGGGAGGCTGAGGCAGGTGGATCACCTGAGGTCAGGAGTTCGAGACCAGCCTGGCCAACCTCGTCTGGTGAAACCTTGTCTCTAATAAAAATACAAAAAAAAATTAGCCGGGCATGGTAGCAGGCACCTGTAGTCCCAGCTACTCGGGAGGCTGAGGCAGGAGAATTGCTTGAACCTGGGAAGCAGAGGTTGCAGTGAGCTGAGATTGTGCCCCTGCACTCCAGCCTGGGTGACAAGAGTGAAACTCCATCTCAAAAAAAAAAAAAAATCAGAAGGAACCCCAGCTGGGGTTGGAATCCTGGGACAATGTGCAGACCAAGCTTTTTAGGCCTTCTCTTGCGGAAGGCTGGCCCATCTACTGGGCAATCAGAGAGGGCCAGGAGACCCCAGAACTGCAGGAGAGTGGACCAGTCCATGCCCTCCATCACTTCTCTTTCCCCAGGATTGTTTTCTACTAATCTCTTGCATTTGCACTGGACTTTATGAGCTGCAAAGCTCCTGCATGGGAGGTAGGGTACAGTTAGCCTTTTCCAATCCCCATTTTACAGAAGAAGAAACTGAGAACTGGGAATCCTGTGACTAACCTAGGTGGCACAGCTAATAAGTGATAGGAATGAAAATCTAACCCAGCTCAGTGTACAGCGTCCCTCCCCCGTCACCTGCTGCTGTCTCTAAGCTCTACGGTAAGGGCAATAGCAAGGGAGGTCAGTGTATCCATCCATCCATGCCACCATGTGACCTACAGAACATGCCCAAAGCTTTGAGCCAAAGGCCTCCAGCTTGAGAGAGAGCTCAGGTTGTAGTCTGAGTGAGATCAAACATGAGTGAGGGCAGGAGCTTCATGTCAGGATAAAACACCTGCAGAAGTACAACACAAGGCAGGAGCCAGGTGAGAGCTGATGAGGAGGGCACACAGAAGGACCCAGGCAAGCTGGGCGGATCAAAATGACCATATGTATTAGTTCCCTAGACCTGCTCTAACAAAAATACCACAAGTAGGTGACTTAAAACAGAAACGGATTGTGTCACAATTCTGGCGGCTAGAAGTCTGAAGCCAAGGTGTCAGAAGGGCTGTGCTCTCTTGGAAGGCTCTTGGGATGGGGGTGGGGAGGGCAGGATTCTTCCGCGCTTCCTCCTAGCTCCTGGTATTTGCTGGTAATCTTTGGTGTTGCTTGGCTTATGGCGGCACAACTCCAATCTCTGCCTCTATTTTCACGTGACCTTATAAGGACACCAGTCATTGGATTAAGGCCTGTCCTAATCCAGTATGACCTCATTTGAACTCGACTATGTCTGCAAAGACCCTGTTTCCAAATAAAGTCACATTCACAGGTACCAGGGGTTAAAACTTCAACATATCTTTTTGGGGGTGTAATTCAACTCAAAACTCAATGTAATGGATGGATGAGCAAGATGGGAAGAGCAAGAACCCCCCAGGGACTGAGCGCCTCTGGGAAGGCTCCCTACAGGAGCCCACTGTTATAACTGGGCCTGCAGGGAAGGGAGACTTGAGGTGCCAAGCACACTGAACAAAGGGGCCTTTGGGGGAGTGGTGTGAAGAGACTTCAGAAGGCACGTTGGAGTCTGTGCAAACCTTGAGTTGGAGGGTTAATGCCTCAGGAGGAAGGGTTTGGGGCAGGTCAGCCTAAGTGTGATGGAGCTGTTCTGGCTGTTCCTCTCAGACCTCACCCCTCTCTACCCACAGGGCAAGTGGTGACAGAGGAGGGAGAGACAATCCCTGGGGGAAGGGGAAGGGCCAGTTAGCTGCAAAATGTCTTTAGAGTTTGCGTGCTCCCCCATGGTATGATCCTTTTTATTTTAATGGTTTAATTATGGGCTGTTTCCCAAATACTCCATTCATTTTGAGCTCCCCAGGCAGGTACTTGGCTCAAAGAACCCCCAGAGGCCCTGTCTACAGATCCGACCATATCCTTGTGGAGCGTAAGCAGCCTCCCTCTAAGGATCTTCGTGAAGTCCCACCCTTCCCACCTCCCCTTCTTACCTCTGCCCAGTGCTCCCTGAATACGTCCAGCTGCTCCTCGACTCCCTGTCCTGAACAGCCTGTCCCCTCCACAAAGCAGAGCACCAAGAACCCACCATCGCCGCACAGAGGGCAAAGTGAACTTCTTTCCAAGAGTGAGCTCTTTGCAGATCCTGTGCAGCTGCTATTTCATACCAGATGAGCTTCCCGCAACTCCAGCCAGCACACCCTGGACCTGCCTGCCCCAACACACACACACACACACACACACACACACACACACACACACACACTCTCTCTCTCTCCACACTCTCCCCCTTCTTTCTTACTCTCATGCTTGCACATTCACTCATGCTCACACACACGCTCTCACACATCCCACAAATACACTCACACATGCTTATACCACAAACCGCCCACTCTTACACACTCACCTTATGGAAACACTCACATATTTACATTCACAGGATGATTCATGCTCACACGCACACCTCACATTCATGCTTCACACTCTCCTTGTACTCTTACCCCTCAAATCCACACATGCCTTACACACTTATCCTCATTTGTACGCCTCAAATAACACACCTTACACTCTTACACGTTCACACACACACCCATATGCGCTTCTACACACATGTTCATGCACATATTTTTGCTCTTACACTCACACACTCACATTCCCAGACTCACATTCTGAGCAGGCATCCAGGCTCGGAGTCCTTTAATTTGGGGGTGAGTGGCTGCAACGTTACCCAGGCCTCACCCTTCCCTCTGGAACCCCAAGCTGCAGTTTGCCATCATGGCTAGGGGAATCTTCTGCACCCTTCTAAAGATGGTGAGGTGTTTTACAGGTGAGGAAATGGAGACTCAAGAAGTCCTGTGACTTCCACAAGAGCTCCTGAGCTCCATGAAGCAGGGAACCCGGTCTTCCTCACTTACCCTCACATGCTTAGCACCTCCTGTGCCTGGCACAGAACCAGCACTTGATAAACCTGTGTCGAGTAAATGACTGGATGGCTCTCTGAGGGGAAGAACTGGGAAAGATCCTAGTGAGGGGAAGTCCCAGTTCCTAATTTAGCCAGACTGGACTCTCCTGGCTCTTGAGACAGTTTCTTTTTTTCATGCATGATCCCTCAGCCACTGCCCCCCTCCAAAAAGGAAACAGATGACTAGGAGGGTCCATGGGATGAGAGCTGGAGGCCAGAGACTCATCTGAACACTTGGTGCCTGAAGTGACATTTCAGAGTTGATGGGTTTCCAGGTGGTTGGGGAGAAATCTATCCTCCTCCCTTCAGCGTACCTGCAGCATGGACAGTGGGACAGGAAGGAGCTCCAGGGTGCCAGCTGCTGGCCTTCTGCTCTGCTTGGCTTCTCACTGGGCTGTCGGGGCTCCTCCCCTGCTTAGCCTTGGAAGGGAGCACATGGCTGTGCAAGCAGGGCTGGGAACTTCCATGGCCCCATGCACCATCTCACGGTGGCCCACCCTGCCCTCCTTACCTGAAGGACGACACAGGACCTCGGGGCACTCTGCCTGCCATTCAACAGAAAATGGGCCTTGGTCCTAATCACAGCCTAGCAATTCATAGTCTCAACACCAAACATTTGTAAGGGAACAGTAATTTACAAATCCCTTTCCCAGGCTCCCCTGTTCCATCTGTAGAAGGAGACTGGACTGGAGCTTCCCTTCCAAATTCATCTTACTCCACCCCAGACCTTCGCTCCCGGTGCCTCGGGGCAGCCAGCTCAACCCTGGGTGGCAGGTGACCTCCTTATCTTCACTCTTCTCTCCCTCACACAGCCACTAGCTTAGTCCAGACCGTCACCGTCCCTTGAGAGGACAGTTTCAGTAGCCTCCCAACTTCACTTCCCCTACCTTCAGGCTCCCCACCAGACACCCTCCACATGGCTGCTAGACTCCCTCTGTTCTTCTTGTCTACGTATCCGACCATATCCTTGTGAAGCGTAAGCAGCCTCCCTCTAAGGATCTTCATGAAGTCCCACCCTTCCCACCTCCTCTTCTTACCTCTGCCCAGTACTCCCTGAATGCGTCCAGCTGCTCCTTGACTCCCTATCCTAAGCAGCCTGTCCCCTCTGCCCGGAATGCCCCCTCAATGGTGTACCTGGCGAATCCACTGTCTCCTCACCCCACCTCATCCCCATGCACACAAAACTTTTAAGGTACTTCTCAGGACTGTAATGATATTATTAACTCTTATAGGCCCAGGGCATCACACAGAGTGCCTGGCATGCGATATCTAAATATGTAGCACACAACTGTTGAATAAAAGCTAGAAATCAAAGAGTCCAGAGGCAGCACCAGCGTTGAGGGAATCTTTAGGGTGCTCCCTTTCCCTCTGAGTTCCTCTATGGCCTGCAACTGACACAAGGAACCAGATCCAGGAAATAAGCAATATTTCAACTCCCTCTGCTTAGGGATTGAGTTCCCTCTCCCCTTGACTGTGGGCGCTCACAGGGGTGCTAGGTCAGACCTGAGCTTTTTATGAGCTGTGGGTGAGAACCAGCTGATTAACCCAGCCTTGTAGTAATAGCCCCTCAGTACCAGATTGTGCTACCGTTATTTGGGGCCAAGAGAAATGCTGGCTCCTGCCTTTCCTTGCCAAGGGCCAGGAGCTGGTGACCCGGCTAAAGAATGTGCTTTGCTTGGGGTTTACATTCCAGGATTGGCTTGGGAGGCCAAGGGCTCAGGTTGCCATTGGGAGCCAGGCACGGGGAAGGGGGGTGGCAATGGGCAGACCTTTCTCCCACCTCCCTCCTGGGCACACTTCCCATGCCCTGCCCTGCCTGGTCATTCCAAGTGGAGGCAGGGCCAGGAGGAAGACCCTCAGCCCCTTCATAGGGAGCAGCATTTAAATGGAGTGTGAAGTGGCCTAGTATCCACTGCCATAAACCCCCACCTGCTGGGGAGCCTTTAACAGCTTACAAAGTATCTCCAAGTTTGGGGTCTTCTTTGAATAATTAGGAACTGAGGGCTGGGAGATCGAGTCACCTGTCCCAGGTCATGTGGCCAGCAAGCAGCAGAGTTGGGTGTAGCACCTCATCTCCTGACTTCCATTCCCAGGCTCATTATACCTCCTGCCACATCTATATCAACAGCCCCTGTACCCCAACATCTAACCAGAAGCCCCGACTTCACAGGGTCAGTGGAGAATCAATAAAATAGTGAGTGTGAAAGGGTGGACACCTGTAAAGATGGGGGGTTATTTTTCTTTACTCATCCTTTACTCAAAAAGGGTCTCAGGTGACTACAACGTAATAGAGTGAGTTAGTAGAAAGTACTTGAAGACCCATGGAGGAATCCCATGAAAATTTTCCCCAGTCGCCGGCATAGCTTCTCCACTCCCTAGCACCCACACTTCCCAACTCCACAGCAATGGAAGTGACAGATCCTCCGTGACTGGGAAAAGGACACAGGAGTGAAGGGCAGAAAAAGAGAAAAATCTCTGGTTTCGCTACTAACAATGGGGTAAGGAGACCCTTTCTAAAACACTGACTGGAAGTTCTAAACTTTATTTATTTATTTATTTATTTACTGAGACGGAGTTTCACTCTTGTTGCCCAGGCTGGAGTGCAATGGCAGGGTCTCGGCTCACTGCAACCTCCGCCTCCCAGTTTCA
The DNA here is from genome assembly GCF_000001405.40 of Homo sapiens. Taxonomy (NCBI): domain Eukaryota; kingdom Metazoa; phylum Chordata; class Mammalia; order Primates; family Hominidae; genus Homo; species Homo sapiens. The sequence continues at coordinate 205,327,690 of NC_000001.11, read as the reverse complement.
AGTGATTCTCCTGCCTCAGCCTCCCAAGTAGCTGGGATTACAGGTGCCTGGCTAATTTTTGTTTTTTTAGTAGAGACAGGGTTTCACCATGTTGGCCAGGCTGGTCTCGAACTCCTGACCTCAGGTGATCCGCCCAGCTCGGCCTCCCAAAGTGCTGGGATTACAGGCGTGAGCCACTGCGCCCAGTCCCTCTAGACTGCAAATCTACACATATATCCACCCCTCCACCTCCCAACTCTCAGAACAACTTCCTTCGGGTGTTCGAATCTAGCACTAAGAGTTGTTAAGAGGTCCTTTCTTTTCTCTCTCAGATCAGCTCCTTCCTCCCTCCCTTAACACAGAGGTCCAGCCTTGGGCTGTTTCAATGACCACTTCCTAGCTCTGAGCTTATCTTAACTGTCTTCTGTCCCAAATCAGGTCAGCTGGAGCTCAGGGAACTCTGATAACCCCTCGCTGTCACACACACACTAGGTGCGCGCACACACTCTTGGGTCTCTGCCGAAATTGAGGGAGGGGACTTGGGAGGACCAGAGCCCAGCAAAGCGCCAGGCAGACGGATAGGAAACCATCAGTCTGACGACCTCACTTCTAATTTCATCCCACAGCAAGCCCAGGAGGTAGTCATTTCAGATGAGGAAAGTATGACGCAGAGCAGCTTAGTCTACTTGACACTCTAGGCAAGTCAGGAATCCTCTCTAAGCCAAAGTATGAGGGCTAAGAGTGCTGTTTCTGGAGCCAGATTGGACCCCAGGCAATCTGGCTTCACCACTTGACAACTCTGTGACCCTGCATAGGCCCTTAATTGCTCTGTGTCACTTTTCTCACACGCAATGGGGATATCATAGGCTAGTATGTACTTCATAGAGTTGTAGAAAGGATTGAATTCATGAATACAGGAAATCTAAGGAACAGTGGCTGACACACAGTATGTTAGCTGCATAAAAGAATAATTCTTATTTATACATGAAGTGGTGGAGACATGAGTTATAGTCACAGTCAGTTAGTGACAGAGCAGAGCCTGAAGCCCAGGTTGCCAGACTCTTGAGCCAAAAACATTATGCCAGCCTGGGGATGCGAGACGGAATGGGGCTCCTGAATGTCCAGTACTGAAGGAATCAGTTACCAGGTGGCAAAAGAAAGCGAGTGGCTGAGATTTCTAATTTTTTTGGGTGGGGGGGACGGAGTCTTGCTCTGTTGCCCAGGCTGGAGTGCAGTGGTGCGATCTCTGCTCACTGCAAGCTCCGCCTCCCGGGTTCACGCCATTCTCCTGCCTCAGCCTCCTGACTAACTGGGACTACAGGTGCCCACCACCACGCCCGGCTAATTTTTTGTATTTTTAGTAGAGACGGAGTTTCACCATGTTAGCCAGGATGGTCTCGATCTCCTGACCTCATGATCCGCCTGCCTCGGCCTCCCAAAGTGCTGAGATTACAGGCGTGAGCCATCGCGCCCAGCCCTTGAGGTTTCTAATTTGTCCCTGCTTAGATATTGCAGAGAAGTTAAAGCAGATTTGAAACAAAACTGAGAGTTGGTTTATCCAAATCTCCTTTTACAGATAAGGAACCACCCCTAAAAGAGAAAGTCCTTGGCCATGGCATGGTGTGGGTTGGTGGTGGAAGTGGAGCTGGACCCCGGCACGCCTGCGTCCTGTCTCTCTGCGTGTGCTCTCCCTCCCATTCCAGGATGGAGACAGGGCAAGCTCTTTGGCTTGGGGAGAAGAGCTAGCTTCTCCTTCAGTCACATCCCCTCCCAGGCCTGGTCTGTGAATAACATTCGGTTTCTCAGGGTAATTGAGAGTTTGAGGGCTGTTTTCAGTGTTTGCGGCACAAATTCTCCAAACTTCCGGCAAGACATACTAGAATTTAGAATTTAGAACCAGGGCTGGCTTAATAAATGTTAGATATCATTATAGCTGTTATTGCAATTACTCAGTCCATATTTGTTGAATGAATGAATGAATGAACAAATGAACGGTTTACTGGAGGAACAAATTGCCTAAGCCGACTTCTGCTTGTGGTCACAGCTTTGGGCATCCCATAAAACATGCTAGGCTTAGTTTGGTCAGAAGAGGGCAGCTTTGAGCTAGGCTTCCCAATTTGCCAGCGACTAACAGGATTTGCATCCCTTTCTTGGAGGGGAGGTAGGGAATACTACAGGCTGTAATTCATCCTCAGGGCTCAAGACTCATCTTAGAGGTATCTGAGATCTGCCTTACCTGCTCCCAACCCTCACGTGACCCCCATGGCATGGCCTTGGTGCCTCTCACCTCTGCTCCTACCTGCACCCTGCTCCCACCAGGACACATCACAGCAGTCCACACACTGAGCTGCTTTCAAATCCCCTTTTACCAGTCTGGACCCACCTCCACTCCCCTACAGACACACACACAAATTGTGAAGTGTGTAAGGACAAGGACAGACATTTGTTCCCACTTGTTTTCCCAGCACAGCACATAGTAGATCCAATAAACAGCTTTCCCCCATGACCCCCTCAGACATGGATCAGCCATGGGACTTGGGGCTGGGGGGTAGGCGTCTCCCTTCCAGGAGTCAATAGTGGGGCAGGCAGGATTGAGAGTAGCTTAGCTCAGCCCAGATATCTCAGCACATCCACACATCCGACCACATGACCCAGGAATTCCCCAAGACTGCTGGTGGCAGAGTCCCCGACCAACACGGATTCCCTGTCAGGCACTCTCGCTTTCCCACCAACTAGACCTCCTTTAAGGAATTTGAGATATGAGTTTCAGCAGCTTAGATCATTTCCGAGTCACATGCTGTTCTGGCTCTGTGTCTTCCTTGCCTACCTGCTGTGATCTTTGGTCACCCATGGCTCCTCACCTAGATGGGAATTCAGATTGTAGTCAAAGGAAGCTGGAGCAGGGGTGAGAAGGTCCAAGAAGTTGCAGATGATTCCCTCCCGACCATGGCCAGATAGCTGGTAATGGAGTGGGCCCAATCACATGTAGGTGCTTTTAGTTTCATCTTTGGATTCCATCGCACATCCATTCCTTCAGTTCATAAGCATCTATGGAGCGACTTTTAGGTGCCTCGCAGCACACTGGGTGTTGGGGATACCTGGAAAAAATTACAGGAGTGTAGCTAGATTAAGCCTTAAAAGAAGCGTTAAGCTCATCTGTATAATTCTTTCATCTTATGAAGAAATGTTGATTCAGCTGGCCAATTGCCACTTGTCCTTCAGGTCTCAACTTAAAAAGTCCTGGCTTTAGGAACCTGCGCCTGACCAGCCTCCTCCCACCTGGGATACATATCTTAAAGAAAATCTGAGCCGGGCGCAGTGGTTTACACCTGTAATCCCAACACTTTGAGAGGCCAAGGCGGGCAGATCACCTGAGGTCAGGAGTTCAAGACCAGCCTGACCAACATGGAGAAACTCTGTCTCTACTAAAAATACAAAATTAGCCGGGTGTGGTGGCGCATGCCTGTAATCCCAGCTACTCAGGAGGCTGAGGCAGAAGAATCGCTTGAACCCGGGAGGCGGAGGCTGTGGTGAGCCGAGATCACACCACAGCACTCCAGCCTGGGCAACGAAAGCAAAACTCCGTCTCAAAAAAAAAGAAAAGGCAATCTGTTCTTCTTCCATCATGGACCCTTCTCCCTCTGTACAGGATTTACTTGTTTATTTCTCACTAGACTGAGAACATTCCAAAGGCAGGAATCTTGTCATGATTGTGTCCCCAGGCTCAGCACCTAGTGGGCACCAGTATTTGTAGAATGAAGTAATTAGTAGAAGGCCACAGAACTGGTTAGTGTCAGAGTCAGGACTCGAACTCAGGTCCCCCAACACTCGGCCCTGTGCTTGCTCTTATGTTATCCATACTTCCTTTTGAGAATTCTAATCATCTGGATGAGCCCCCAGGAATAGAAGCAGATTTCAGAGGGGAAAGGAGATAGCAAGTCAAGGCAACTATCTCTGGGCCTCATCCTATTTGCACAGAAAACCCACAGCAAAAGGGGAGGCTGGTGGAGGGAAGAATGCCAAACCAGCTGCCACCTCCTGTGGCCCTCCAAATTTGGGAGCGATACATTGGTTTCCTGTGTAAGATGGATCCTCTCCAGTCACAAAGGAGATAAAGAGCTCCATGGAGGGATGGAGACATCTGTAACTCACACTAGAAAAATAATCAAAGGATCAGTGGAAGTAGAAAAGTGGGCAGCCACTGGGGGTGGGTCCTTCTCCATCCTCAGCATGCCCTGGATACACAGGGGAGGCACCATCCTCCTGAAGGCCTGAGGGGAAGGCTGGCTCTCCAGCATAGCTAGAATCCATCCAGGGCCCTAAACTGGCTGGCAGAAGGGGTTTCCCTCAGGGAAGAGGATCCAGGTCTATTGTCCTCTATTCTCTTCCTCAGGACCAGGGTCTAAATCCCGCCACTTTATTACCAGTTGTGTGGCCTTGGACAGAATAATACTCATTTCACAGGATTAGGTTATCAAGATGGCCAAAGGGGAAATGTTCCCTTTCTGCCATTTAAAGCAAGAAGGAAAACCTATGGCCATTCTCATTTCACTGTAAATGAGCACTCAGAGTGGAGATTCTGGACCTAGCAACTCCAGGCCTCAAAAACTAAGTCAAGCTGGGCGCAGTGGCTCACGCTTGTAATCCCAGTACTTTGGGAGGCCGAGGCGGGCGGATCACGAGGTCAGGAGATCAAGACCATGGTGAAACCCTGTCTCTACTAAAAATACAAAAAATTAGCCGGGCGTGGTGGCGGGCGCCTGTAGTCCCAGCTACTCGGAGAGGCTGAGGCAGGAGAATGGCGTGAACCCGGGAGGCGGAGCTTGCAGTGAGCAGAGATCGCACCACTGCACTCCAGCCTGGGCGACAGAGGGAGACTCCGTCTCAAGTCAAACCTCATAACCTACCACCAGTGCTCCTGGCACCAAAATCACAAGAAAACCTTGGGTGGAGCAACCATTTTCAGACTTAGGGACACAGGTTAGATAGTCGGCATGTAAAAATGTTAAATAAATATGTATCCCTTCGGGTTCTCTCCACCTCCAGCCGACACATCCTAAATAAATTCCACTAAGTGGTTGAGGGAATCTACTAAACCTTAGAAGCCCTCTTTTTTTTTGAAACGGAGCCTCACTTTGTTGCCCAGGCTGGAGTGCAGTGGCGCCATCTTGATTCACTGAAACCTCTGCCTCCTGGGTTCAAGCGATTCTTCTGCCTCAGCCTCCAGAGTAGCTGGGATTACAAGCGCGCACCACCACGCCCGGCTAATTTTGTATCTTTAGTGGAGATGGGATTTCGTCATGTTGGCTAGGTTGGTCTTGAACTCCTGGACCTCAAGCGATTCGCCTAAGAAGCCCTCTTTGAGGAAGAAGGAAGAAGTTTCCAGGGCCATTGGATTCCAATATCCAAGTAAGGTTGATCTAACTGAAGACAAGTGAACTCGAACCATAGGACAGCTCTGCACTAACCCTCCCACTAGGCTGGATTCTGCCTCTGTTCCATCCCAGCTCCCTTTCTCCTTTATGGACTCAATGAAGTGGTCAAGCAATTATAGATTTTGGCTTGGGACAAGCAAATTACTCAGGATGAAGAAATACTTTGGTGACCTTTAGTGCCCTCAGATCGCCCCTTGCCAACTGAGAACAGAGTACAATAAAACAACAGGGCATTAAGCAGGACCAAGCGCCACTCAGAGGCAAGTGCAGCTCCAAGGGCCCTCAGAGTAAGCTTCTGGGCCTCAGGCGGCCTTCGCTGGAATCCCCTAGTCCCCATTCCTGGTGGGCGGGTTCCATTGACACCTTTCCCGGCCACGCCGAGGGGGAGGAGGCGGGGCCTGGAGCCCCGGAGAGCCAATGTGGACGGCCGTGGTCACGCGCCGCCGTCGAGCAGGCCAATGGGCGCCGGGGGGCGTGTCCAGGGCCTCGGGCTCAGGGCGTTTATAACAACTTGGAATGCTGTGCTTTACTGCGCGCTCTGGTACTGCTGTGGCTCCCCGTCCTGGTGCGGGACCTGTGCCCCGCGCTTCAGCCCTCCCCGCACAGCCTACTGATTCCCCTGCCGCCCTTGCTCACCTCCTGCTCGCCATGGAGTCGCTGGTTTTCGCGCGGCGCTCCGGCCCCACTCCCTCGGCCGCAGAGCTAGCCCGGCCGCTGGCGGAAGGGCTGATCAAGTCGCCCAAGCCCCTAATGAAGAAGCAGGCGGTGAAGCGGCACCACCACAAGCACAACCTGCGGCACCGCTACGAGTTCCTGGAGACCCTGGGCAAAGGCACCTACGGGAAGGTGAAGAAGGCGCGGGAGAGCTCGGGGCGCCTGGTGAGTGCGGCTCCCTCTCGCGGCGCGGGGCGGGCTCCGGCTTGGCCGCCGGCAGGGAGCGGAGGAGGGCGGGCGGCGGCTCGCTCGTTGCTCGGCGGAGAGGCCAGCGTGGTCTTTACCGCGCTGAGCTTGCGGGGCTACTGCGGGGTGTCCCTGGCAGATGTGTCAGTCCGTGATTGCAGGGACAGTGGTCGCAAACTTGCGAACCCCAGCCAGCAACACCGTACTGCTGTGATGATTGCCAAATAAAAGGGAGGCTATGGATAGTTGGCGCGGAAAAACGAATCGTGTCGTGTCCTGGGATAAGATGGATGGGACTTAAGTTGAGTTTTGCTGGGAAAAGACTGTTCAATAGAGTGCAATGGAAAGAGGAAGTAGAAGGCACCCCATCTTAATAGGTATTTGGTAAATATGTGTGTGGTTGAATGAATGGATGAGGTGTGGATTTCCCCAACTCCAAGAATCTGGCAACCCAGCACACTGGAGCTCTGGCACGGGGTGGGTTTTGACATTTAGGTCCTTTCCAGCTCTAAAATTTAGTTGAAATTTCATTATGATGAGTTTTTGATTCTGGAAAATGTGAAACCAGGTCCACTGTACCAGAGACACCTTTCGGTTTGGGGGCCTTTTCAAGAACATGCCCTGTTACTTTGGTGCGAGCGTAGGAGTCTAGCAGTCTGTGTGACCTTGGGCAATTTCCTTCATCTCTGTACTTTGTTTCCCCTTTTGCAGAACTGTAGAAAACACAGCCTGCCTCACAAGCTGCTGTGAGGATTGAATAAGATCGAAATATGAACTTATATTGCTCCTAACACATAGAACTTGCGGTGAGATAGCCGGGCGCGGTGGCTCACGCCTGTAATCCCAGCACTGTGGGAGGCCGAGGCGGGCGGATCGTGAGGTCAGGAGATCGAGACCATCCTGGCTAACACAGTGAAACCCCGTCTCTACTAAAAATACAAAAAATTAGCCGGGCGTGGTGGCGGACGCCTGTAGTCCCAGCTACTCGGGAGGCTGAGGCAGGAGAATGGCCTGAACCCAGGAGGCGGAGCTTGCAGTGAGCCGAGATCGTGCCACTGCACTCCAGCCTGGGCAACAGAGCGAGACTCCGTCTCAAAAACAAAACAAAACAAAACAAAACGAAACAAACAAAAAAAGAACTTGCAGTGAGAATTTCTGGAAAGGGCAGCCCAGAAAGGATGGCAAATTTGTCAAAAGTTAGTTAGCAGTGGTTAACTGGTTCTCAAACTTGAGTTTAAAGTACGTAAGGATCACCTGGGATGTTTGTTTAAAATACTTACATTCTCTGGTTCCACACCCAGAGTAATTTATTCTGAAGGTCTAGGATAGGGCCATATAATGTATATTTTAACAAGCCTTTTAGAGCAGGTGGTTTAGGCATTATTATGTTTTGCCAAATCCAGTTGGGTGCTGGTTGTGAGGGGGTGTGTGTGTGTGTGTGTGTGTGTGTGTATGGTTTGCCCTATTGGCTACATCAGCAGTTACTTCCCCAGATTGTGTTTGCTTTTGCAGCCAGTAGCTGGTTTGAAATTCAAGAAGTCATTTCATTGGTGAAGGAGAGTGGATGTTGGAGAAAGGGGTAGATTATGGCCCCATCAATAGGACCGAGTATGTTTTTCCTGCTATCGCCTGGCACAGTCCCCAGTTGCCTGCTGCCAGGTTACAGCTATTGGGCAATCATGTACTTCCTGGCTTGCCTTTTCTTTCTCTTTCTGCAAAGTGTGAGGGCCCGGTGAGGCTCCAGGCTTGAGGCTGTTGGACCCAGGCTTTGTCAGGGGCTTAGCTGGAAAATAGCTGCTGGTGGCTTGTGCTTCGTGCCTCTTGGGGGTGGAGACACTGGGTCGTGGGGACTGGGGTGGCCCAGAGACTGAGAAACTGAGATTGAAGTTCAGAGTTCCCATCAGGCTCTTGACCCAGGTCACTGTGGGGTGTGTGTGTGGATGTGCATGAGAGAGAGAGAGTAAGAGAGAGATCTCATTTGATTCCAGAATGAGATAAACTAGCTTTCAGTTTTCAAACTTAAGTGGATTTAGGCAGGGATTCCAGCTCTTATTACATCAGAAGATACTCCCTGGCCTCATGCCTCTTGCTCTATGTAGGAAGCCAAGATCAGTAGGCATGGGACCTGCTGTGAACCTCCCTGATCCATAGACCACCCAGTTCTGCAGCTGGGAACTTGCTCAGGGTCTCCTTCCTTCTTGGAGAGCAGCTGCCTGCTGTGCTAATGGTTTCTCAATTCTGGAGCATTGCCTCTTCCCCACCCCACCCCACCCCTGCCTCTTGACTGTCCTTCGTGAATCGAGAGAGACCTAGTGCCTCAGGATACTTCAGTGCGGGAGAGGGGTGTGGGAGCTTGCCCAAGACCTCCCCTAGAATGAATTGAGATTGTTGGTGGGAGCTAGATTCAGAGGAAAGCCAGCTGGGTGACTTCCATCCCAATTTTCTCTCCACCTTTCTAGCACACTTCCCGCTCCCAACCTGCCTAGATGGGATTATCAGGGCCAGATGGGATTGGCTGAGGGAAGGGCAGGTGGGCGGAACTAATGGCTGCTCTAGGAGGACATCAAAGGAAAAACAAATATTTGCTCTGGCTCTTCAATACATTCCTGGTATCCAAATGACATTTCCTCCTGGGACTCACCCAGCTCCCCTGGCCACCCCTTCCCCTAAAGAGAAAAACACATGCTGGGGTCTCTGAAATGGTGGAGTCCACCAAAGCCTTTGGATGATCTGCATGGAAGTCTTACCTCCAAGGGGAACCATTAGGGCCGTGAGTCCAAGTGTATGGTGCTCTGGAGCAAGAGTGCTTCTGTCTTTTTTATGTTTTGGAGTGCAGTGCAGGATTTCAAAATGTTTGGAAATGACTGAGGTGGTCCGAGTCCTTCATTGACAGATAGAGTAGCTGAGGCCCGAAGAGGGGAAGTGACTTATCCTGTAGCTGGTGAGTGGCATGCCTGCAATATGGGCTCCTGGATGACCAAGTACTGAGTCCTAGACTGGGAGTTGGTCTTGAGATGAGCCCAGGCTTGCCTCAGTGTGCTTTGTTATTCCAACAGTTAGCTCCCGCTGTCTTTCCCAGCACTACAGGCAGTGCTTCAGGTGGGAAGAGTCACTGGGAACCAACCCCCACCCTCACATACAGTGACTGTGTTGAAGGATTCTGGGTGGGTGAACTACACTATATTCCTGGGTTTCAAACCTTGTTGGGGATGCTGCCTAGCTGACAGTCAAGGTTGCAAGCATTCAAATCGTGGCTCCATTGCTTACCAGCTGTGCAACCTCTCTGTACCTCAGTTTCCTTATCTGTAAAGTAGGGGTGATAATTATTCCTACCTCGTGGGATTCTCTTAGGATTAAGTAAGATAGCATATGTAAAGTGCTTAGCACAGTGTCTGACACACACAGTGTTATTATCCCAGCAAGGCTGGCTTTGATGAAGTCCTGCCCTTCCCTTTCCTGGGGAATCCCTGCGTCCTGGAGGTCTGTCCTACCCTGAGAAAGAGTATGGATTGTGCTTGGCTTCCCTAAGCCAAACCACTTTGGTTGCTGCTTTGTTCAAAGTCCTCGTCTCTCCTTCGGCCCCAGCTCCAGAGAAGGACTCCTGCCTGGCTGGCTGCCAAGGGCTTGCTTGGCAGGACACTGCCCTCCCAGCTCCCTCTGCACCTGCCTGCTAAGCGGCAGGGAGGGAGGCTGCAGGCCACTCTTGTCCTTGAGCCCCAGCCAAACCACACAAGAAGGCTGGGCAGGGAAGCTCCTTGCCCAGCAACCCGGTAGAGGGGGCTGGAGGATGGCAAGGAGGGGGCAGCACAGTATAGGGAGGTGGCTCAGGCTCCCCTTGGAGCCCATTCCTGATCCCTGCCTAGCTCTCTGGCTGGTGTGGTGGGATGGCGAGCCACCCCTAGGCCCACCCCCACTCTGCCCAGCCTGGGCCAACCCAGCCCAACCTCTCCTCCGTTATCTAAATGGGTCATCCCCTAGCTCCTTGCCCTGCCTCCCAGACAGCAGCTGCTCCACAAAAGGCCAGAGAGAAATCAAGGATCTTGGCTCCAGCTCTGGGTGATAACTATGACCAGAGATGCCCAGCTTGCACCTTCTCTCCCTCCACCTGGAACCAGCATCTCTGGATCTTCTTTTTCTAAGACCTTTCTACCATCCTCTCCTGAATCCAGATCGTTCCTGATCTGAGTCCCTGGGAGGGAGGCAGTGTTTACCAATTGAGCCACAGCACCTACCTCTCCAGGGTGTTGGCAGAGGAGTGGGCATATTTGTATATCTGTAAGTGGGATGGGGTGGCTGGTGATACTACACAGCCTGGCCTAGGGCAAGATATGGGGCATTCCCTTCTCCAGGGATGGGAGGCAGGCAGGGAAATCTCTATGGCTGAGATGGAAGCTTCTCCAGGCACCATCCTTCCATCTTCAGTCCTGATTGTGTCTTGATGTGTTGTGGAACCTTGGAAAAGTCAGTGTGCCTTTCTGGACTTCAGTGTGTGCTGTTTGCAAAATAGAATGAGGAATTAACCCTGCTGCCTTTTCCAATGTTTAGGACTGCAGGGGCAAGAAAACCACTGGGACAGAATCAGAAATTATGCTCAAGCAGGCTACCGTGGCCATAGTATGGGGCTGCTTATAATAATACTTGGCTAGCACCTTCCTGGCATAGTAGCAGGTGGCCCATTTCTGAAGAAGTTCAGCATAGAATTCTAGAGTTTGGAAGGGTGCGTAGAGATCCTGATGTGCAAATTCGTGAATGGCTCTTTCTTTTTGGCCTTTGTTCAAACCTTTCTTTCTGTCTGGAATGCCCTTGTTGCCCCTCCCTAGCCCACCTCCCTTGGCTTAGCAAACCTCACTCATCCTTCAAAATCGAAAGCAGTTTTTCTCCCAGAGGTGGTTTCCCTGCTCCTCCTATGGGCAAAGGAAGTTCTCTCCAGTGCTCTTGGAGCCTCTCTGCAGGCAGGGACATCAACTGCCACATTTATCACAATAGAATGGAGTTTAATTAATTGTCAGTCCTCCCACTGGACTGTGGGACTGTCCACTTTTTATCTGAATCCCTAACACCTAGCACAGTGCCAGCCAGGCACATGGTAGGCACTCAGCAGATGACTGGAGAATAAATATCCTTTCGTTTTTCAGATGAGGACATGAAAACCAGCCAGATGAGTTAACCAGACTTATCTGGTCAAGTGACTTATGTTGAGTTGCATAGCTCTATAGGGGCAAATAAGGATTCGATTCCTGGGCTCTTGATGCCATCTCCACTAATCAGATGTTCAGGTTTATGTTATTATCATTGAATCTGGTTTTCTTTCCCCTTCTGAGTAGGGTGGCCATATATTGTATTATCTAAACTTGGATACTTTGGAGAGTAAAAGGGGCAATATTAGTAATTAGACCAGGACTGTCTCAGGCATGTGGCCTTCCTGCCTCTGGGTGATTGGTTCAGCAATTGTTACCCTCTTCCTTGGTTTTAGTCATTTTATTTTTATTTTTTATTTTTTTTTTAAGACAGAGGCTCGCTCTGTCACCCAGGCTGGAGTGCAGTGGTGCAATCTCAGCTCACTGCAACTTCTGCCCTCCCGGGTTCAAGCAATTCTCGTGCCTCAGCCACAGAGTAGCTGAGATTACAGGAATGCATCACCAGGCCCAGCTAATTTTTGTATTTTTAGTAGAGATGGGGTTTCACCACGTTGGCCAGGTTGGTCTTGAACTTCTGGCCTCGAGTGATTTGCCCGCCTCGGTCTCCCAAAGTGCTGAGATTATAGGCATGAGCCACTGCGCCCAGCCTAATCAACATATTTTTATTCTAGAGAATAGTTGCCTGGCTATCTTGCAGATGAGAACAAAGGTCCCTAAAAATTAGTCCTTATAACCGAGGTGGACTTCACCCATGTCTAGGAAGAAGAGGAGAAAATCTTATCTGAGCACTGCTCCCATCTCAGTCAAAGGTCATCAGCCCAGTGACTTAACTAGTAAATATTTGCGATTTATGTTCACCAGTAAACAATTGTTGAACACTTTCTGTATGCTGAGCTCTGTCTAGGCCTGAGCTGTTGCTCTAATTTACTTTGACAGGCTAGCCAGCAGATAGCTAGAGCCCTCTCCTGTGGGTCCAGGATAGGCTGGGGAGCAGTGGTCTAGCCCCACCAGGGTGGTGATGCATGGCTCTTTTTGTCTGCCACCTGCTTGGAGACCGATAGAGGCCTGATGACATAACTTGTTTGCTTCCTGGAAAGTGCCAGCCGTACTGTGATCTCCTGGGACCTAATATGGATACCTGGTGGGTCCCTAACCTACCCCCTGATGCCAGAGCACAAACTTGCAGGAGGCTGGAACTGTTCAATGAGGATTAACAATTCTGATGTAGAATCATGGGCTTCTGGAGTTGAAAGAGATGGATCTTGGGGTTCAACTTGTGCACTCGCCCCCATGCAGAGACTCCTTCCAGCCCCTCTAACACCCCTTTCTCCCTTTTTTGGAACCTCATTTATTTTAGGCCTTGTCATCTTTAGAGTTCTGCCCCCTAAGCCTATGATGATTTATTTCACTATTGTATCTGCGAGTACACAACTGTACATCCAAGATGTGCCTATGCGTACATCTTAAGTTCTGAAATAGTTTTGATTATCTAGATATGGGATTCATGTTTATATATGATTGATCGTTTTGCTCTTTATGGACCTTTATCTCTGAAGAGCTCATAGAACTTTATCCATTGTTTTATTTTAAACAAAGAATTTTAGAGAGAAAATAACTTGTCCATAAAATCTCCCCCTCAGGGAGAGGAAAAAGGGTATGGAGGCGAGAGGTGTGTGGGAATGATACTCCAAGTTGAATCCAGGAGAGAGAGGTACCTCCTAGTTAAAGGAGGATTCAGGCCCTCTCTACATCTACCCCTGGCCCCCTGCCCAGTTCCAAGCCCAGGTTTTTATTTTTGTTTTTGTTTTTTGCTTAGCTCACTAGGGAGAGATGGATGGTTTGGAGCAGAAGGGGGATAGCCCCATCGCATCCCCTGCAGCTGCAGCATGGGCCTCTTCAGCATCTTGGGGAGGAGGCTCCATGGTGACCATCCCTCCCGCCTGCCATTGTCCTCCCTGCCCTGCTCAGGGAGGGCCCGAGAGCAGGGCCTCCCCTCTTTCAAAGATGAAGCTCTGGGGGAGGAGTGGGATGGAGGGCACGCCATCCCTGGCCCGTTGCCGGGGTGACCGGGCCAGGGCATTGTGAGCAGCTCCTCTTACGGGATTAGGGCTGTTCCGCATTCTTGTCCGATGGAGAACACAGGCCGGCAGGGCCTGCTGCCCCTGCAAGCCAGAAACCATTGTCTGCCTCCAGAGCCCTGTGAAAGGGTGGATTAGAGGCTCCTCCCCTCGAGCAGGGGTTTCCTTTTTTCTCTCTCCCTTTGAATCTTGAGGGGACGCAAACCCTCCTGGGAAATTGAACGAGGAGCTGTTTACCACAGTCTAGGTCTTCAGATTTCTCACAACTTGCCTACCCCCATAAGAGGAAGTCTCGTATTTACCATTTGCGTCCTTGGGCAGCACTTGCCAGGAACTGGCCGGCCCTGTGACACCCCACCCCCACCCAGCTCCCACCTAGCCCTGCAGCCTCTGAGGGCCCCGTGGCATCTGTACGGCTAATTTCATAGACTCAGAGCAGGAAAGCCCCTCAGATCTCTTAGTTCAACCTGTTTGTTTCACAGAAAAAAAAAAAACCCGAGGCTCTGAGAAGGGGTGGGGACTGGCCCAGGGGGACAGTGACAGACTCCCTAGGCAGTGTCTCTCCCCAGCTCCGCGCCTCAGGCCCTGCTCCCTGGTATTTTCTGGGATTTTGTCCAGGAGCTGCTGCTGAGGAGGGTGGAGCAGAGAGGGACCGAGACCCTCGGTGGCTCAGAGCTTTGCTAGCTGCACCTCGGCAGCCCTCTTTCCATTTCTTCCTGCCTCTCTCCACCTTTCCTGAGCCCACCACACATACTGCCTGGAGGGCTTCGTCCTCATGTGGTGTTTTTCATCTTGCCGGGCTAAGATAGCAAGCCCTGAGATAGCAAGCAACTGTTGAGTTGTTTGTTGTCAGGGGAGGAAGGTTTCTCATCTGGACTGAATAGACTGGTGTTTGGGGGCTTTTTTTTTTTTTCTTCATAATTTTGGGACCAATTTTTAAAAACATGGTAAAACATACATAATATAAAAGTTACCATTTTAAGTGTACCAGTAGCGTTAAATTTAACGTTGTTGTAAACCAATCTCCAGAATTCTTTTCATCTTACAAAACCGAAACACTATGCACATTAAACAACACCTCCCCATTTCCCCTCCCCCAGTCCCTGGTAACCACCGTTCTGTTAATACTTTCTGTCCCTATGAATTTGCCTATTCCAGGTACCTCATTTAAGTGGGATCATACAATATTGATCCTTGCGTGACTGGCTTATTTCACTTAGCATAATGTTTTCAAGGATCATCCATGTTATAGCATGTGTCAGAATTTCATTCCTTTTTATGGTTGAATAATATTCTATTCCATCCTATGGACGTACCACATGTAATTTATTCCTACATTTCTTTTCTTTATTTTTTTATAGACAGGGTCTCACTCTGTTGCCCAGGCTGGAGTCCAGTGGTGCAATCATGGCTCACTGCAACTTCTGCCTACTGGGCTCAAGCAATCCTCCCACCTCAGCACGCGCCTATAGCTGGGACTACAGGCATGTGCCACCACACCTGGCTAGATTTTGAATTTTTTGTACAGACAGGGTTTCACCATGTTGCTCAGGCTGGTTGCGAACTCCTGGCCTCAAGGTGATCCTCCTGACTTGGCTTCCCAAAGTGCTTGGATTACAGGCTTGAGCTACCGCACCCAGACCTATCCCTACTTTTCTTGATGGACATTTGGGTTGTTTCCACTTTGTGGCTAGGGACTGATTGCTTATAGCAAGTTACAGAACTGGAGCAGAAAAAGTACCAAACTCAGAATCAGATGGCCAGTAGTCGAATCCACTTGCACCAGTTAGTGACCGTATGACTGAGCACATCATCTAACCTCTCTGGGTCCCAGTTTCTTCACCTGTAAAGGGTATTGATGATGCTTTTTGTGCCCACCTCCCAAGGTTGTTGTGAGGGTCAGTTCATTTACTAATGCAACAAGGAGTTATTCTGTGCCTACTGTGCTCAGCATCAAGAATTCAGTGGTGAGCAAAACTGGCTGGTCCTTGTCCTCATGGTGCAGATTGGCACGTTTGCTTTATAATTCATAACGCATCAGCCTTGCAAATGCAGGTTTTTACCTTCCTTGTCTATCTGTAGACTATGAATAAGGAGGTGACTTGTCGATATTCCTTCCTGCTGCATGGACCATGTGCACTCAGCTCAGGTGAGATCTTTTTCTAGAGAAAGTGCTCTCCAGCCTCTCTGCCACCTACACTGGTGAAGGATGGAGTGGCTTCTATGGGTGTACTCTGTGGCCTTTATAGCAGCTACAGGCAAACCACCAGGACCAGGGCCCCCAGAGTGTCCTCTGCCAAACCTTTCTCCTCACTCTCATGCCTTCTCTTCCCAGGTGGCCATCAAGTCAATCCGGAAGGACAAAATCAAAGATGAGCAAGATCTGATGCACATACGGAGGGAGATTGAGATCATGTCATCACTCAACCACCCTCACATCATTGCCATCCATGAAGGTACAGTGGGCACTTAAAGCTGGAACTTGGGGGTCTATGTGTGTGCATGTGTGTGTTCACATGCGTATGTACATGTGTCAGAAGAAACAACATAAAGAAGTAAAAAAAATATAGGCTCTAGAGAAGAGCAGGAGCTGGATTTGAAACTCAGCTGTATGACTTTGCACAACTCATTGAATTTAGTCTCTGGGCCTCAGTTCCTCATTTATAAAATGGGGTAATCCCATCTACATCACAGTGTGGTTGCAAAGATCAAACTGTTTATGTCATTGAATGCTCCACTCATGGGAGGTACTCAAGGAATTGCAGGTTTTTTTGTTGTTATAATTCGGTTTTCCCTACTTGAACACTACCTTCCCAACCCAGTGAGCTCCTTAGCAATCTGGGGGAGGCTGAAACATACATAGACCTGCACCTGTCTCAGGTGCGTGGGTGCTATTCTTCATGCGTCCCAAGAGCCAGACCTCCTAGAGTCTGACCTGGGCTCTGAATCATTCCTGCCACAGGGCTGGCTCCTACCTCTCCTTGTCTTTCTTGGCCTCCTCTTCTCTGACATCAGTGCTGATTTCACCACTCCAGCTGCCCTCCTCCCCATGACCCAGACAACAAAGTGAGCAAGAGAGGGTGACGAAGGAAAGATGGGGAGCCCTCTCTTACACACACCTGTCTGCGTCGAGACTTTACATAATATCAGTTAGATGAGAAGCGAGGGATAGCAACAGGAGGGAAGAAAGGGAGACTGTAACTCTGCCCTTTGTCTGTATATTCCTGGTGGGGAAAAAAATAGAGCAGTCTCTGCTCTTGGGTCGTGTTCATAGAAAGATTAAGGGTAGAGCCTTAAGGGTAGAGCCTTAAGACATAGCCCTGTGGCTTAAGCCTGTCCCATGAAGAGCCAGGCAAGTGGCTGAGAAGGCTAATTTTATCTCTGTGTGTGCTTCCCTCAGGGAAGAGTGGGGAGACAACAAAGTATTGGTTAAGCCAGGCTGAGTGTGGTGATTGGGGTGTGTGTGTGTATATATATGTGTGTGTGTGTATATGAATTCTGCCTTACACCCATATCTCCAGCTAGGCTGAGTGTGGTGATTGGTGTGTGTGTGTCTGCATGTGTGTGCGTGTGCATGTGTGTGTGAATTGTGCCTTACACTCA
The DNA here is from genome assembly GCF_000001405.40 of Homo sapiens. NCBI lineage: Eukaryota > Metazoa > Chordata > Mammalia > Primates > Hominidae > Homo > Homo sapiens. The sequence goes on along the minus strand of NC_000001.11, from coordinate 205,310,557 downwards.
TATCTCCAACTGGATCTGGGAACTGAGCACTGCAGCTCAGGGTATGGCTTCTCTGGCACCTTCAGATTCAACAGACATAAGAACATCATAGTTACTGTGTGTCTGGAGGGGCTCCCCCAAATTCATCCCCTTCCTGCTACTGGCTTCAAGGGATGTGAGGTAGCGGGTGTGCCTCAGTCCTGGGAAATGACATCTAACCTAGCTGTTCTCCAAAATGTGCCCTGGCTGGCTTTTGACTCCCGATTTTATGGCACAAAGGCTGCATGCACCCTTGCAGAGATGATGAGAGCCATAGGGGTGGAGTCTCAGCCAGGCATCCCCAGGAGGCTGGGCCTCCACAGATAAGGGCCATTTATTCCTGTCCCCCTGGACAAAAGGACAGTCCTCCTGGCCATGTATCCAATTCCCTGGAAGCTGGGACTCCTCTAGGGAGAAGGCTCTTCACTTCACTCCTTCTCAGAGCCTAGACAGCATTAGCTCTGGGGCAGGCCAAGCAAGCCAAACTCATAGGACCCGTTTGACACAAAGATGCAATGTCAGGGACATACATGTTCTAATACACACCAGGCAGAAGGGCCAGTTTGGTGAACCAGCCACTCCCTACCTAGTCTTCAAGTGGCAAGAGGGCCACTCCTACCCAGAGAGATGAGCCAGCTGGGATGAGGTGGCTGCCAGGAACCCAGCCAGTCAATTAATTACCAAATATGTATTGATTGCTTCTGTGTACAAGGCCTTATGCATGAGGCCCTGCCCTGGATCCTCTGGATGGAAGTCAGAGATGGTGATGGATATCTCAGCTCTCCCTGGTGCTTTATAGTTCATGATCCACTTTAATATACTTTTATTCCCTCTTCTGATCCTCAAGACAGACATTATTATTGGCCTTATTTTTCAAATGTATGCATGAGGGCACTGATTATAAACATAACTGTGGCCAGGCGCGGTGGCTCACGCCTGTAATCCCAGCACTTTGGGAGGCCGAGGCGGGCTGATCACATGGTCAGGAGTTCAAGACCAGCCTGGCCAACATGGTGAAACCCCGTCTCTACTAAAAAATACAAAAATTAGCCTGGCATGGTGGCGCGCACCTTTAATCCCTGCTACTCGAGAGGGTGAGGCAGGAGAATCGCTTGAGCCTGGGAGGTGGAGGTTGCAGTGAGCCGAGACCACGCCACTGCACTCCAGCCTAGGTGACAGAGCGAGACTCTGTCTCAATAAATAAAGAAATAACTGTAGGTACCATTTATCGAGTGCTTGTTTATATGTCAGACCTATACCAGCTTGCTCAGCCAGCCCTGGAACTGCTGTTGACTTTTTATATTTCTCACCCCAGCCCTGTGAGGTTGCCTTATTATCCTGCTTTTCAAATGAGGAAACTGAGGCACAGTGGTTTAATGACTTGTCCAAGATCACCCAGCAAACCTGCATTCTTACTCATGTATCTAGAAGAGATTTGCCCAAGGCCACAAGGTGAAAAAGTACCAGGTTCTTGAACCAAGGAGCCTGGCCTTTCATTCCCATCTAGTGACGTCTCTGCCTTCCTGAAAGGGCAGGGTCATTTTCAGAATTCCCAAAAGCCTGAACTTCCACGGAGGCAGAGGATGAGCCAGTGTCTTTGGCCTTAACTCATGGCTCCTGGAAGATGCTGAGAACTTCCAAGGCCCTTCTTCTGCCCTTATTTGCCACCGTATAGCCCCATTAGCAGATATTCCTGGAGGGGGGTCCTGTCTGGTTTGGGGCCTGGGGTCGGGGAGGAGTGAGTCACCCCCAGTGGAGAGCAGTGCACTCTGGGAGGGCCTGACGTTCCTTGCCTTGCTCTGCCCAGTGTTTGAGAACAGCAGCAAGATCGTGATCGTCATGGAGTATGCCAGCCGGGGCGACCTTTATGACTACATCAGCGAGCGGCAGCAGCTCAGTGAGCGCGAAGCTAGGCATTTCTTCCGGCAGATCGTCTCTGCCGTGCACTATTGCCATCAGGTGAGCACCTACCTGCTCCAGCCATATTCTCAGTGGGTGGTCCCCAGGGCTCTAGGGCTGTTTTGGACCAGAGAGGTTCCATGACTTGTCCAGGATCACACAGAAACAGAGGCAAAACTAGATTCTGGACTCTCAGGGAAATGTCAGTGTCTCTGACTTTGAGTCCCTTCTCCGCGGATAGAAGGGCCCGTGATTTCTTGCAGCACATACCGATAAAGATAGGCATTCCCAGCCTACCTGTGCTCAAGCCCACTTGGCTCCCTTTGTGTTTACCTCAGTCTCCAGACTGGGCCCCTCATCATCTTCCCTTCCCTGGTGACCTTCCCGTGACTGCCCTCTCCTTCTTTCAGAACAGAGTTGTCCACCGAGATCTCAAGCTGGAGAACATCCTCTTGGATGCCAATGGGAATATCAAGGTGAGTCCCACTTCTTATTTCTAGAAGCCTCCTTGCCCACCCCAGCTTTTCTGCACTGTCCCCAGCCAAGTAGCTCTAAGCTCTTGGTGGATTCCTGAAGGAGCTGAGCAAGGCTGACCTTCATTGGTACTGGTAGGGACCTCAGCCATCATCCATTCCAACACCTCATTGTGTGGATGGAGAGCTGGAGCCTCAGCTGAGGGGTGCTTTGCACAAGATCACACAACTAGCACGTGGCTGAGCCTGGACTAGAACCAAGATCTTCTGATTCCCAGATGAGTGCTCCTTTGATGTCATAAGGCTGACAGGAGTCTAGATCTAAGGTCAGGTTTGCTACAACCTTGGGACAGGCCCGGCCTGAGTTCTTCTCATGTATGTACACACTTGCATACACACACACATGCATGCTTTAATCTGGTACAATTAGATAGCCCTTTGGAAACTTCCCACAGATGAAGGACTCCAGCTCCAGCTTCCTGCTTTCTGCAGCTGCTAGATTTCCATGCTTAAGTAGTTAAATTTAGGCATGGAGAAGTTCATGTTGATGGGATAAACTGAGATCTCAGGGCTGGAGGAAGGACATGGCACAGGGAGGCTGGCCCCTGCAGGCATCTGGGAAGGTGACGCTGCACTCTGACCCTCTTCAGAATCTTCCTGAACCCAGGACATAGTCTCTTCCAGTGGCTTTTGACCTGTACCCTGAGGTGCCCTGGTACTGAGTTCATTCCCTCTTACCAGCCAATTCCCGGAGCAGGTGGGGCTTTCTTTGATGCTGAGCAGAAGGGAGGGAAGCCAGAGCCAGTAAACCCGCATAATCAGGCACAAACATGGACAGGCATGAACTTTCCTATCTGCACCAATCATGTGCTTCATTATGGGCTTCAACTGGTAACTGCTTGATAAGAGGCCAATAAAACCATAAACAAAGGAGCCAGAGTTTCATAAACAGCCCCTCCCCACCCTGAATACACATAACCCTCTGATGTGGTGAAGAGGTGGGGAGCACCAGGGCATGGCCTCAGCCTCTAACTGAGGATAGGTGGGAAAGGGTCTCTCCGGGCAACGAGACGATGGGGTTGGGTTCTCAAGCCCTCAATATCAGATGGTTCAGGGAGTCTTGGGCTGTAACCACAGCCCTGATGTTTGTTCTGCCCTCATTATTGCTTCTTAGCTATATTGGGCTGACCCCAGGTTCCTGCCACCAAGTTCTTGCCCCGGTGTGCACACAGGAATGAGCCCTTTGCTAGGAAGGGCAGCTCAAGTCTTACGTGGTTCATTGGTTATAGGGCTTGCTTGTTCCTGAGGGCCATGCCATTATCATGAGGTGCTGGCTTTCCCCCTCCATCTGGCTGACCCTCCTTTCCATCACTAAACATCATTAGAGCCTCATGCAGGGTCTCACCTGGGCTAGCAGCTGCAGGAGAGGTGGGGGCAAGGAGGTCAGCATGGGAGTGTACAGTCTGTCTGGAAGGCAGATCTAATGAGCAGGGGCTCCAGGGAGGCATTGGAAACTCTAGGCTTCTAGAAGGAGATGGGAGACTTTCCAAGGGATATGGGCATGAGACAGCATCTCTGTAGTGGAATGCCATGTGAGCAAAGTGGTCTGGGGAGCAGTGAGGATCCTGGAGCCCCCGCAAAGCTCTGTCTAGATGCTCCTTATTGACACAGCTCCTCAGGGTTCGTTCTTCCAGGGCCTGAGCTATGCTGACAGTGCTCAGTGTGGGGTAAGGGTCATGGGGACCCTTTCCTTCTATTGGAGCTTGGGTTTCCCCAGGGTCTGGAGAAGGGCGGGCCAAGAGCTGCAGAAAAACCCAGGCCTTGACATGACCTGTGCCCGTGTTTGACTCAATCCTGCAGATTGCTGACTTCGGTCTCTCCAACCTCTACCATCAAGGCAAGTTCCTGCAGACATTCTGTGGGAGCCCCCTCTATGCCTCGCCAGAGATTGTCAATGGGAAGCCCTACACAGGCCCAGAGGTAAGTGGCCACCCTCCCCTGCCAGCCTGCCTCAGATGTTTACTATGACTTTAGATCCTGGGAGATTGATGGGCTAGTTTTCTCGTTATTCACATTTTCAGAGCACAACTCTCAAGCCTCCCAAAAAGTAGTAACTTGCCAGGTGTCTAGCCAGGAATGGCAAAACTAGAACTAGGCCGGGCACAGTGGCTCACACCTATAATCCCAGCACTTTGGGAGGCCGAGGTGGGTGGATCACTTGAGGTCAGGAGTTCGAGACTAGCCTGGCCAATGTGGTGAAACCCCATCTTTACTTAAAAAAATATAAAATTAATGGGGCTTTGTGGCACCCACCTGTAATCCCAGTTACTTGGGAGGCTGAGGCAGGAGAATCACTTGAACCTGGGAG